>NC_000012.12:115187400-115338915 GCF_000001405.40 Homo sapiens | reverse complement strand
TTGAACAAACCACAGGTTGCTGTAAGTAAGGTGCAAACGAAATCATACATGAGTGAGTGTTTTGAAACTAAAAAGGCTCATGTCACGGTGGTTAAATGTATCATTAACATCCTGCCTCCTCTACTTATAACTTTACAATTTGAGGAAAAACATCATATAGTCTTCCTGAGCCTTGATTTCCACATCTCTAAAATGGGTATAACGTTTGATAGATGTGAAATTTCCGTGAAATATGCATTAATTCTCACATGATTACCACAGGAATGCTGGGAAGATTAAATCATTTTCAATGGAGAAAGTGTCTACCTGTGACAATTTTTGCTTTTATTACTGTCAGTGCTAAAGTACTGTAAATGAGGAAAAAAAAGATTTGGGCACCAGGGGAATTCAGCTATAATTTATCAAGCCTCATCTGCATGCTCAGGGGTGGCCATTCAGTGAAAATTGAAGTAGCAGGAATCTCTTTGCCAAACCACAGCAAGAACTGAGGCACCGGGCTCTGGATCCCGATACAGGTGCGCTGCAGAGTGGGTCATGTGACCTTGATACTAAGAACCATTATTCCCTTGCTTAGAATTGGAAATCTGAGAACTTCCCCTTGGGACTCTTGAGAAATCAGCCAGTCAACATGATCAAGAGCTGGCTGGAAAGCCAGGCTCTTTTCCTCCAGACCTATTTGGGTCTTGAGGCCTTGAACACCCACGGGTCCCTTCTCCACTCTGAGCCCAGTTCACCCTCTGTGTCCCAGTTTTTCCATGCCCCAAACTCCCGGATCTTCATGCGGGTTCTGCGAAGAAGTGGCAAGAACACAAACCCTGACACCAGCATCCCGCCCATTGGTAGGCAAGCTCTGCTCCTCCCTGCTGCATTCTGATGGGGAGGGGACAGATGTAAGAGTTGTTGAAAGAATTGAGTTAACCCAAGGGAACCACCTGGCACATAGTAGACGCTTTCCCAATGAGATCTGTTGTTCTCAACACTCCACCATGCCTATCTAGTCACTGTCCCTTCCAGGGACACCCTAAAGTGGCTGAAGGACTGTCCTGCCAGGGACATGACTTGGCTCCTCCCTACTCATGAGTTTCCTGCCAGCCTTTCCCATGACGTCTTTCATTGCTTTTCAGTGCATGATTCATCTAAGCAAACGCTTAGTGTTTTTTGTAAGCATGCTCACCCCAGTTCTCCATCATCAGGGCCACCCGGGAATGCTCTTTTAAATAACAGATTCTTCTTTTTTTTTTTTTTTTTTTTTTGCCAATTCTTGGGCTCTAATTTTAAAGAGCAGATTCTTCTTCTTTTTTCTTCTTCTTCTTCTTCTTTTTTTTTTTTGCCAATTAATTCTTGGGCTCTAATTTTAAATAGCAGATTATTCTTCTTCTTTTTTTTTTTTTTTTTTTTTTTTTTTTTTTTTTTTTGCCAGTTCTTGGGCTCTAACTCAGATTATCTGCATCAGGTTCTTTGAAGATGAGGCCACTTCCGCATTGTTAAGAAGTTCCATGGATTCTCATGCACGGTAAAGTTGAAGAATCACTGTTCTCCACGATTTTGTGTCTGTACTGGAGAAGTTGGCTCAGAGATGTATGTATATTATTATCATATATTGTTAAAGCTATTTTGATAGATAACATCAATAACAATGACTGTATCCATTGAGTATTTACTAGGTGTGAGACCTTATAGCAAGGTGCAGGCAGCAAACTACAGCCCCCTCGCCAAATTCAGCTCACCTCCTGTTTTTGCAAATGAAATTTTGTTGGGTTCTGTACTGTCTATGGCTACTTGCATGTGCCACAGCAGCAGAGCTGAGTACTTGCAACAGGACCCCAGGGTCAGCACAACGGAGAATATGCATTCTCTTCCCTTTTAAGAAAAAGAGTTTGCAGAACTCTGCCACAGAGATGAGCACAGACCCTGTGTGCTCAAAGATACTGTGTCCACTCTACCATGAAATCATGGTGAACCCTTAAAAGTGATGCCATAGAAAAATAATTTCTGCTACTGAAAAATGCTCATATTGGAGAGTGAAGTAAAAAACACAGAGACGCTAGATTTCAATCTTGAGCAATTATTGCTCTGTGCCTCACTCTCCTTATTGGAAAAATGGCAGCAACAAAAATAGTTCCTCCCGGCATTTGTGGAGATTAAGTGAGAAGACTAAAGTAAAGGGCTTGGCCCCATGTCTGACACATCATAAATGCTCTAAAGAAACCCACAGTCATTCTTTAATCTGCATGGTAAGTAAGATTTTCATTCTTTCCAAGTTGCTTGTCCACTTATACTAAATGTTTGACAAAATTTTACAAAAAGTTATGCGTGCCATACAAAAGAACAAAGTCATGCCCTTTGCAGCAACATGGATGGAGCTGGAAACCATTACTCTAAGTAAACCAGCACAAGAACTGAAAACCAAATGCCTCATGTTCTCACTTATAAATGGGAGCTAAACATTGAATGCACATAGACATAAAGATCAGAACAACAGTCACTGGAGACCACTAAACGGGGGAGGGAAGGAAAATGGCTGAAAACCCACCTATTGGGTACTACGCTCACTACCTGGGTGATGGGATCATTTGCATTCCAAACTCCAGCATCGTGCATGATATCCATGTCACAAATCTGCAGATATACCCCCTGAGTCTAAAATAAAAGCTGAAAAATTTTAAAAACTTATGCATGTGCTTGCATAGCTGTATGATAGGCAAAAGCACCTGTTTGCTGTTTGCTTGTTTATTGTCAGGATGGGTCCTGCCTCCTGGAACTTTGCTCTATCCCCACTTACTGTTCTGCAGGACCTCATGATTCTCAAAGCAAATCACCCGTAAATTGCTCCCTGGCACAGTTTCCAGTTGCCACCTGCGATTTTATTTGCCTGTGGATTTTGTTGATAACAAATGCCTCTGTGCCTTTGTACAAATTCCTCTTTTCTTCATCTGGTCTTGGTTTCTCTGTCTTTAAAAGGGGAACATTAGGAGGAGATGGTCTGTGAGCCCCTTTCCAGCTCTCACATTCCGCTGCCCTGGGATGGCGAAGCAGCTTACGCACTTGAAGTTCCCACCACGTCCAGCCTCCTCACTGTGCTCTGGGGAGCGGAAAGCCTGTGAAACAGAGCTTCCCTCCTTCTGGGCTGCTGGGCGTGGTGATCCTTTCAGCAACTCTGGGATCTGGATTAGGAGCTTGAGCAATGACCTTAAGCCCTGCACTCTATTTAATTTCCTTGATTTATAGCCAGGTTTTCTCGCACCTCCAGGGAAGAGACGTACTGCCATCTCAGTCTGATTCCCAGGCTGAGCCCACAATTCCTCGGCCTGTTTATCCACCTCTTGCTACAACAGAGTCCATCTCCAGGGGCCATTGTGCACCTCTTTTGAATGAGGTGGCATAGCCAAGCCCTGGCTCCTCTCCACCCACTAGGATTTCCTCTCGTGGAGGTGGCTTTGGGTTCTCATGATGCACGCATCCTAGCCCTGAAGACTGCCCAAGGGACAACATGTGAATTTTATCAGCAACCGCCAGTGGGGCTTCCTTGGACCCCTAAGATCCCATTTGTTTGTCTGACATTGGGGGTGGAGACCAGCACAGCCCCAAAGGTAGAGCTTGTTGAGTCTTGGGGTGGCTGGAGGACGTGTGCAGGCCAGCAGTTGGGAGCAGAAGCCCTGGGGAGGGAGAGTTGGCTCCAGCTTCAGTTGGCTGTCCTTCTGGGTTAGAGGGGAAGTTGAGAAGGGAATCCAGGATCTGAAAAGACCCAGGAGGGGAGGAGGTCAGGATGGGGAAATAAGGACATGAGAACTCTGTCCTCCTTTCTCATGGCTTTCTCCTTTAACTGGAGCCAGGTTTGCTTCCAAAGCAGCTGGTGTAACCAAGCTGAGGCCAGGGAACTGGAAACCTGGGCATATCCACAAGCAATATGGATGCGGAAGTTGTTGCTGTGTATACAGTAGGTGTCCCCACAGATGCAGGAAGCTTCACTACCACTGGTCCTTTGCCCAGATACCAACGTTGACACCTTGGGAACCCTTATGCAAGTCTGCAAGCAGCTCAGTCTCCTTCTTTCTTTTTCTCCCTTTTTCTTCTCTTTTACTCATTATTCTTCTATTGTGGTCCTCTTTTCCTAGCTTTCCTCTCTCTTCCCAGCTGTTTCTCTCCCCTTTCCCTTGTTCTCCTGTCATTCTCACTATCTCCCTGTCTTCTCTCCCACTCCTCTTTTATATTTTCTTTCTTCTTTTTATTCGGTTTCCTCTTTGTCTATCACTTGTATCCCCTTCCCTTCTTCTGTTGCACTTCTTTACTTCCTAAAGCAGTCATCCTCAGTGTGGTCCCCGGACCAACAGATCAGCATCACCTGGGAACTTGTTAGAAATGCAAATTCTCTGACCCCACTCCAGACCTGCTGCCTCAGCCACTCCCAGAGTGGAACCTGACAATCTGTGTTTTCATAAGCCTCCAGGGGAGACGATGCAAGCTAAAGTTTGAGAATCATGATATAAGAGGAAAATGGCAATTTTCCAAAAAATTGGAGTATCTTTGAGTGCTGATCCAAAAAGCCCTCATTTCTAAACATGTAAAGCCCTCCTGTCCCCATTAGCTAATTTGGACGTTGGACCACCAGCCTGGCTGAGATGCTTTCAGAAACAACACAAGCAATTACACTCAAGTTCTCTGATTACTATCAGGCTGCTAAATCCCCTCGGCCAAACTATGTCTTTCCTGTTCCTGGACTCTGCCTTGCTTCCTCTCCTTCTCCAGTTGCTTTGAGGAGTAAGGCATCAGGGGACACTGGACCTTATATCCAGCAGCTCATAGTCGGGATCAACATGTGGCAAAGTGTGTTCCTCAGATACTGATAGGGATATTAATAGAAAAGGGTACCGTAGTCGAATACAGGTGGGGAATGCTCAGTAAACAGATTTCTTGATTGCAGAATTTTTTAGAGTCCAAGTGCATAGTGGCTCTTGGTTGTTTCTTTTTTTTTTTTTTTCCCAAGGCAGAGTCTCACTGTGTCACCCAGGTTGCAGTGCAGTGGCATGATCATGGCTCACTGCAGTCTGAACCTTCTAGGCTCAAGAATCCTCCAGCCTCAGCCACCAGAGTAGCTGGAACCACAGACGTGCACCAGCATAGTGGCTCTTAAAAGCAGTTCGGTGCTAGTAGCATATCCTGAACTTAACCACAGAGCTCTATTTTCCACTGGGCATTGCACAGGATAAGTAGATTTGGAAGATGCTAATTTAGGAGTTCATAACCTTTCTCCTCAGGAGTGTCACCTGTCTTAGGCAGTGTCTGGTATGGAGGAAAGAACCAAGATGGTGCTCAGTAGAGTATTTTGACCCTGAAAGGGCCTGTGCATGAAGAGAAAGGGCATGTTCAGGAGCTCCTGGGCCTCCTGACATGCCCACCTGTTGGTGTCTAAGTGGGTGATGAACAGCCTTTTGTGCTCAGATGGTGAAGCCAGCTTCCCTCCATGATACTGACTATACTCTGATTTCAGGAGGAAGAATGAGAAAACTATCCTTAAATTGCTCTTTCTTAAAGATGCCCAGAACATACCCCTGGAGATTCTCTTTCAGTAGATCTGGCATGAGGTCTGGGAATCTAGATTTTTTTAAAGTTCCCAGGGGCTTTGGATATAAAATGAGGGCTAAAAGCCACTGGTTTACATGAATCCATGCATGGTGTTTAAATAATGATATGTTCAGGGAAATAGAGAAACCAGAGCTATGTCCATAACCTTTGAAACAGACATAAGGGAAGACAGCCAGATCCTTTTTCTAACATCATACATGGGGCCCTCAACAGGGAAAATGGACTGTGGTTTTGCTTGGGGGTGGTAACATTGAGGTGGGAGTAGAGAGAGAGAGCTTCTTATTTTCCTATAAACCTGAAAGATACAAAACCATGGTTTAGATCAGTGACAAATAACCCTGTTTTTTTACATCAGAAAGAAGTATTCAGGAAAAATAAAACAATTTTATAGCCTATTTTTTCCATTAAACTTGAAAATAGTTTTATTGAGTCCCACAAGGGGGAAATGTGTTTTTACCATTGAGTCGATCAACCTACTTTTAGCAGCAGAAATCTTTTCTCAAGAGAAGCCTTATATTTAAACTCCAACATATACCATATTAAAAAAGGTCACACTGCTTGAAGAGTAGATGGGAGATCTGAGGTCCAAATAAGTGGGTCATTTTCTCACTGAGTTTTGGAGGTAATATAGGCATTTTGGGGGAACAAGAATGGGAAACCCATATCCTACTTTCTGGATTCCTCCGCCCGCCAAAGTCAATGAGAAAATCAGCACTTCTCTCCCTCCACAAAAATGTTATTTTCCAAGAATATTAAATTAGTCACAACATGACAGCAGCTTCCAAATTTTTAACATGATACCAAATCTCAAACTACATTTATTTTAATGAATTGAGATTCTAGCAATTGCACTTAAAAATTCTCTTTAATTTTTAGAATTCACATCACTTAAACTTCTATAGAGACTTCTTAGTTGTTGCTGTTTTTAATCTGGGATTTGATAGAGTTCATGACTTTTTCATCTCATCTGAAAAGACTACAGCAACAATAACAAAATAAACTTAGTGTATACTATCCTTATTCTTGCAGGAAGAAGTAACTGGAACACAATCATCTGGCAAAATCAACTGAGAAAAATGGAAAAAAAGTACCACCTGGCTTCCTTGCTAGTAATATTTTTAGTGGCAATAATACCCAAATAATGTGGATCCCAATCAAGGTAATAAACAGATCCATCACCTTCCAAAGTTTTCTTTTGTCCCT
The DNA here is from genome assembly GCF_000001405.40 of Homo sapiens. Taxonomy (NCBI): domain Eukaryota; kingdom Metazoa; phylum Chordata; class Mammalia; order Primates; family Hominidae; genus Homo; species Homo sapiens. The sequence goes on along the minus strand of NC_000012.12, from coordinate 115,332,129 downwards.
TTGTGTGTGTGTGTGTGTGTGTGTTTGTGTGTGTGTGTTAAGAACACTTAACATGAGATCCACCCTTTTAACAAATTTTTAAGTACACTTTATTGTATTAACTACAGGCACTATGTTATACAGAAGATCTTGAGAACTTATCCATATTGCATAACAGAAACTTTATACCCATTGAGAAAACAACTCCTCATGTCCCTCTTTCCCCAGCCTTGGCAACCACCATGCTGTTCTCTGCTTTTATGAGTTTGGCTATTTTAGATTTCTCATAGAAGTGGGATAATGCAGTATTTATCCTTCTGTGACTGGTTTGTATCACTTAGCATAACGTCTACCAGTTTGATTCATATTGTATGTAAATGGGAAGATTTCCTTGTTTTTTTTAAGCCTGGATAATATTTTGTTGAGGTTGCTTCCATGACTTGGCTACCTGTGTGTGCTACTTGAAGTGTAGATTATCTCTTCAAAATCCTCATTTCAATTCCTTTAGCTATAAACTCTGGAGTGGAATTGCTGGATCATATGGTAGCTCTATTTTTAATTATTGGAGGAACTTCTATTTTGTTTCCTAAAATGGCCATACCAATTTACATTCCCACCAATAGCGTACAAGAGTTCTTTTTCTTCTACATCCTTGCCAGCACATCTATTTTCCCTTTGAAAATAGCCATTCTAATAGGTATGACGTGATATTTCATTGTGGTTTTGATTTGTGTTTCCCTGATGGTTAGTGATGTCGAGCACCTTCTCATATATGAGAGGACTTCAAAAATTCATGAAGAAAAACTCTATCTTTTATATTAAAAGATAAAAAGAAAAAATGCAAACTTTATTTTTCTCAACATAAGAATCATCAACTTCAAGACACTTTTGCAAGCAGTAATACCAGCCATTTAGTCCATCACTAAAGAACCAAGGGTTTTGGGGATTTAACCATGTTAAGCCAGTATTTTTTATGTTATTAACTGAAGAAAAATGGGTACCATTTAAATACTTTTTAAGATTAGGAAGCCAAAAGAAGTCAGAAGAAACCAAATATGGACTGGAAGGTGGATGCCTAATAATTTTCCATTCAAACTCTTGCAAAAGTGCACTTGTTTGATGAGAGGAATGAACAGGAGTGTTGTTGAAGTGGAGAAGGACTTTCTGGTGATGGTTTCCCAGGTGTTTCTCTGCTAAAGCTTTAACTAACATTCTCATAATAAGCAGATATTATAATTCTTAGGCCCTCCAGAAAGTTAACAAGCAAATGCCTTGAGCATCCCAGAAAACTGTTGCCATGACCTTGCTCTTGACTGCTCTGCTTTTGCTTTTACTGGACCATTTCCACCTCTTGGTTGCTATTGCTTTGATTGTTCTTTGTCTTCAGGATTATAATAGTAAAGCCATGTTTCATCTCCTGTTACAATTCTTCAAAGAAATGTTTCAGAACCTTAATTCTACTTGTCCAAAATTTTCATTGAAAGCTCTGCTCTTGTCTGCAGCAGGTCTGGATGCAGCTGATGGTGTTGGTGCCATTGAGTAGAAAGTTTGCTCAACTTTAATTTTTCAGTTGAAATTGCATAAACTGAGCCAACTGAGATGTCTGTGATGTTGGCTATTGTCTCTGCTGTTAGTCATTGATCCTTTTCAATTAGGTCACACACAAGATTAATTTTTTCCTTACAAATCACTGTGGATGGTCTGCCACCGTGGGCTTCATCATCAACAGTGTCTCGTCCTTTCTTATAGTGAGTTATCCATTTGCAAACAGCTGATGTCTTTGGGGCATCATCCCCATAAATTTTTCATAAAACATCGATGATTTTGCCATTCTTCTACCCAAGCTTTACCATACATTTGATGTTTGTCTTTGCTTCAATTTTAGTAGAATTCATGTTGCTTTGATAAGGACTATTCTCAAACTGATGTCTTATCCTTCCTAGTGCCTCCAACTAGATCCTGTTGAGACATGTTGTAACAAGTTAGTATAAGTTTATTTCCATGTAAAAAATTTTGAAATCCATGCCTAGTTTTTTTTGTAATACACATCTTCTGTGAACATTTTGAATTCCTTTTGTACTTGGCCATTTGTAAATCATTGGAGAAATGTTCATTCAAATACTTTTCCCATTTTAAAATTAGGTTATTTGTATTTTTGCCATTGAGTTGTAAGAGGTTCTTGTATATTTTGTGTATTAACCCCTATCAGATAAACAGTTTGCAAATATTTTCTCCCATCCCATAGGTTGTTTTTTCACTCTGTTGATTATTTCCCTTGTGCTGCAGAAGCTTTCAATTTGATGTAGTCCCACTAGTAACTTTTTGCTTTTGTTGTGTATGCTTTTGATGTCATATCCGAGAAATCATTGCCTAGATTGAAACTTCTCAACCAAGAAAAGCCTAGCACCAGATGGCTTCACTGGTGAATTCTAGCAAACATTTAAAGAAGAATTGATGCCAATATATTTCAAGCTCTTCCAAAAAATTGAAGAGGAAGAAACCCTTCCAAACATATTTTATGAGGCCAGAATTACCCTGTTACTAATGCCAAAGATACTATAAGAAAAAAAACTACAGGCTAATATCCTTGATGAACACAGATGCAAAAATTCATAACAAAATACTAGCAAATCAAATTCAACAGCACATTAAAATATCATACACCCTGAAAAGTGAGATTTATCCCTGGGATGCAAGGATGGTTCAACATATACAGAGCAATGAATATAATATCCCATATTAAGAGAATGAAGGTTAATAAGCATATAATCATCTTAGTAGATGCAGCAAAAGCATTTGACAGAATTCAACACCATTTTACGACAAAAACTTTCAGCAAATTAAGTGTAGAAGAAACTTACCTCAGAACGCTGAAGACTGTATATGAAAAGCCCACAGCTAACATCATACTCAGTGGTGAAAAACTGAAAGTGTTTCCTTTAAGATCAGGAACAAGACAACGATGCTCACTCTAGCTACTTCTATTAAGGATGGTAGTAGAAGCCAGAGCAATTAGGGAAAAAATGAGATATTTAAAAAGACATTCAGATCGGAAAAAAAGTAAAATTGTCTCTATTTGCAGATGGCATAATCTAAAGACTCCACCAAAAAAGTGTTAGAACTAATAAATGAATTTAGTAAAGTCACAGGACACAAAATCATCATTTAAAAATCAGTTGCACCAGGCATGGTGGCTCACCCAACATTTTTGGAGGCTGAGGTAGGAATATAGCTTGAGTTCAGGTTTTGAGACCAGCCTGAGAAACATAGCGAGACTCTATCACTACAAAAATAAATAATAAAAAAAAACAAATTAGTCAGGCATGGTGGCACACAACTGTAGTCTCAGCTACTCAGGAAGCTGAGGTGGGAGGATTGCTTGATCCTAGGTCGAAGCTACAGTAAGCCATGATTGGTCCACTGCACTCTAGCCTGGATGACAAAGTGAGACCCTCTCTCTCTCAAAAAAAAAAAAAAAGAAAAATCAGCTGCATTTCCATACACTAAAAATAAACTATTGGCAAAAAATAAAGAAAGTGACCTTATTTACAACAGCATCAAAAAGATAAACATGCAAAAACAATTATGTTTCTACAAACTACCAATGAACACATGGACACAAAGATTAAAAAGTACAATACCATTTACAACAGCATAGCTACAAATCTGATAAAGCATATACAGGACTAAATGATACAGATATACTAAAAAATGCAATATGCCAATGAAAGAAATCAAAGAAGGTCTAAATAAAAGGAGAGACATACTGTATTAAAAAAATAAGATACTTAGAAACAAATTTAACTGTAAAGGCACATTGGTACAGTGAAAAGTACAAAACATTGATGAAAGCAATGAAAAATGACACAAATAAATGGAAAGAAGTTCATGTCATGGATTTGAAGACTTAATATTGTTAAAATATCTACACTACCCAAAGTAAATTTGTAGATTCAATGCTATCCCCAACAAAATCCCAGTGACTTTTTTTGTATAGAAATAGAAAATGTTCTCTTTTCTTTGTTTCTACCAGGGTTGAAGAGAGACCTTTTGGGAGGAGTTTAAAGGGGGAATGTCCTTGAGTATGTGGAAGAAAATTGAGGAAGGTAAAGTGTTCACTGGAAGTAACATGGGGTGAGCCATGAAATGCATCCTCAATAACATCCTTTGATAGACTCAGATAAAGAATGAAATTCCTTTTCATTTCATTGATTGGCTGTTTGATATGGTTTTGCTGTGTCCCTGCCCAAATCTCATCTTGAATTGTAGTTCCCATAATCCTCATGTGTCGTGGGAGGGACCTGGAGGGAGGTAATTGAAACATGGGGACAGTTACCTCCATGCTGTTCTCCTGATAGTGAATGAGTTCTCACGAGATCTGATGGTTTTATAAGGGGCTTCCCCCTGACCCCTATTTTGCTCATTCTTCTCCTTGCTGCTTCCATGTGAAGAAGGACGTGTTTTCTTCCCCTTCTGCCATGATTGTAAGTTTCCTGAGGCCTCCCCAGCCATGCTGGGGAGTCAATTAAACTGTGAGTCAATTAAACCTCTCTCCTTTATAAATTACCCACTCTCAGGTATGTCTTTATTAGCAGCATGAGAACAGACTAATACACTGTTGAAGGACACTTTTTGAATGCTTCATCACTCAGAGGTGAAAAATCAAAGGGCAATTATGCTGCATTTATAAACAAGTGTTTTTGCTACATTTCTTTAAAGCTACTCATGATTTAACATTTTAAAAAATCAGCATGGCTATGCCACGACTAGTGAATAAGGAGATGTGAATAATACACATCTTCCATGAACGTTTTGAAGTCATTGAAGCCTTTAGTAATGGACTAGATGGCTGGTATTATTGTTTGCATAATCCGCATATTTGGAAGGTCTCAGTTCCTGGGCTACCTTACCCTTGCTCCTAGTCAGTCTGAATCCCGTGCACCCCAGGGGGCTTAGAACAGTGGTTCTCCAACTGGGGTACCTGGACTAACAGCAGCAGCATAACCTGGGAGCTTCTCAGAAATTTACATCCTTGGTCCCCATCCTGAACCTGCTGCATCAGAAGCCGTGGGGGTAGGGCCTGGCAACCTGTGTTATTGTAAGCCCCCCAGGACATTCTGGTAGTCACTCAAGTTTAAGCACCCCTGGCCTTTTCCAAGGTTTTGGTGGCTAAGCTTCTGTTACAAAGCTGCCCCTTTTTCCTGAATTCCCCTCTCTAACCCTGGCCTCACCCTTAATTACATGGCAAAGGTGTGCATGGGGGTTAAGAGTTCAGACTCGGAAGTCAGGGTTCTGGGTTCTAGATTCAGCTGTACCCCAACCAGCTGGGTGACCATGGCCAAGACAGGTAATTTATTTGTATTTTGATTTCTTTACCTGTAAAGGGGGGATGATAATAATAATAGTGTTTGTCTACAATAGTGATTGCAATGATTAAATGAGTTATCACATTAGGGAAATCAAGCAGTGCCTGGCACATAGTAGGTGCTCAAGATATGTTACTGGTTGGGAACAGTGGCTCACACCTGTCATCCCAGCATTTTTGGAGGACAATGGGGGCAGATCACTTGAGGTCAGGAGTTTGAGACCAACCTGGACATCATGGTGAAACCACGACTTTACTAAAAATACAAAGAAAAATTACCTGAGCTTAGTGGCATGCACCGGTAGTCCCAGCTACTCAGGTGGCTGAGCCAGGAGAATCGTTTGAACCCAGGAGGGAAAGGTTGCAGTGAGCCAAGATCGTGCCACTGCATTCCAGCCTGGGTGACAGAGTGAGACTCCATCTCAAAAAAAAAAAAAATGTTACTAATCACAGTTATCAGTCTCCCACCTAGCAAGTAAGTGCCTTAGGTAGAGAACACGTGCTCTGATGGATTTTTGTCTATGCAGTGCCAAGCTGCAGGCTACATACCAAGTAGGCACCCCACTGCATCCCCCTTGGTCATGGTTTGACATCCCTGGCTAAAGTTTAGATCTTGTCCATTGTACTTGTTAAAAAGACAAGGCACTCATTTTTTCTTTTCTTTAATTGAACACTTTGTGAGTGCCAGGCGCTAGGCCAGGCCCTGTGCAAACATTACCTCACATAATCCTCATTGCCAGTCTAGGAAGAAAGGAACGTCCTTACGTAATAGAATAGAGGATAGACTCAGAGAGGCTCAGTGGTTTTCCTGGTGTCAACAGCTGGGTAAATGGCAGAGCCAGGATTATAAAGCAGGTGTGTCTGAACTCAACATAGAGGTTTCCTCTAGAGAAGAAGAAGTGAACTCTGTAAGATAGAGACTGCCTTTTCCTTTACTGGAAATACTCTTATAACCTTTTCTAATTATAATGTGACCTATATTTGTTTAAAACTTCAAACAACATAGAAATATGACATATATGGCAAGTGGACATATTCTAGTAACTCTGCCTACCAAGAATAAACACTTTGGTAATCCAGTAGGCATAAGTCTGATTTTTTAGGTACACATAAAAACACAGACATTCACTGTCTTTCTTAATAAAAAACAAAATCATACTTTACATCTTTTTATACATTGCTATTTTTAACTTAATCTACTGGGAAATCTTTGCATGTCAATACATCCATTTGCTAATGTCACATGGATTGAAAACTAGATCTCCTGGCTCCTCCCAGCTCTGTCCCATTCCAGGACCATTTTCTTTATGCCAATTGCCAATATTTCTCAGCCAAAAGCTGAGATTCTTGGCAGAGTTTTTCACTTGACCCAGTGTACCTTCATGTGTAAATAGGCTGTTCTCTAATTATAATTCATGATGTTTGCATGTAATAGAAGTCCTGGCCGAGAAGTGTTAACTTCATTGGATATCAACCACAGAATTTTTTTCTTCCAAATCACCACCCCCTCCCAAAAATAGAAAAAAGGAAAAGAAATGGCCAGGGCTACAGACAGGCCTTTATTTCTAATACATTGCCTGAGCCCTTGTATTAGGTCATGTTTTCTCTGGCGAGAACTGCCCTTGTATTTTTTTTTTTCCTGTCCGTTTAGTCTATAAATGAAATGGAGTTACTGCCCCTATTAAAATGGAACATTGTGCCCTTAGTTTGCTCTTAACGGGTGGGAAAACCCCATTAAGTGTTTGTGAAATATGTCTTAAATACAGGAATTTTAATCTAGTGGTCTAATAAATCCCTCTCCTCTACTCAAATGAAAGTCTTAGGTTTTCCGGCATCTGTTCAGTTATTTGTTCACCAAAACTTCCTTACAAAAATCTGACCCTGAGAACTGTGAATTAAGGACGTTTCTTCCATTGGGGTTTTTTTTTAAAAAAAGACATCTTTCAAAGTAAGAAGGAACTTTGACAGGTGTATTTCATGGTAAGACACTATTTTTGAAACGTGCCTGGAATTCTTGCTCTTGGAGGGTAAAAGCCATGAAATCTCTGTGACTGCCCCAGGATGTGACAACTCATAATATTCTAAGACCTAAGACTTCGTAAAATTGTAAGTCCATTCCTTTGCCTCAACGTTCGATGGCTTCTAAAAAGTACACTCTCCTTTGGGACCATATTTCACGGGCGTTGGAAAGTTTCTCCTTAGCACATCAAGCTGGATATAAGTAGATTAAATTCATCTCTTCTGCATATTTATGTCTACTTTTTTTTTTTTACGGAAAAGATGTTTATTAGGAAACTCTGAGTATATTTTCTGGTGTAAGTTCTATCTTTATATTGGAAGCAATAGGAGAAGATGTACACTTACATTTTAGGTCAAGGTTTATATTTTTTAGCCCCAACAATTTAATATTTATTTCCTAAAATCAAGGGCATTTCCCTTTATAATAAAAATATAACTATTAAATTCAGAAGAGTAGTATTGACACATTGTTACCCTATAGTTCTCAGATGTCATTCAAGTTTCGCCTATTGTCTCTATGATGTGTTTGTAGGCTGGCACGGTGGCTCACACCTGTAATTCCAACACTTTGGGAGGCTGAGGTGGGAGGGTTGCTTGAGCCTAGGAGTTCAAGACCAGCGTGGGCAACATAGCAAGACCCATCTCCACACATAGTAAAAAGATTAACCAGCTGTGGTGGTGTGCACCTGTAGTCCTAGCTACATGGGAGGTTGAGGAAGGAGGATTGCTTGAGCCCAGGAGGTCGAGGTTGCAACAGTGAGCTGTGATCACACCACTAGGATACCCCATCTCAGAAAGAAAAAAAGTGATGTGTTTGTAGCCAAAGAATCACACGTTACATTTGGTTTTCTTGTTTCTTTTAGCTTCCTTCCAATCCGGAGCAATTCCTCAGTCTTTCCTTGACTTTCCTGTGTGGCCAGTGTGTTTCAGCAGAATGAGGTAGAATATACTTCAAAATAAACAATATCCATGGGGATCCTACCTACACTGTGACTTTCAAAATGGGATGGAAATAGGAAGGGAGCATGTTCCAGCAAACATCTGGGATTGATACTTCTCAAAATGTTCACTTGAAATCCATGGTTGTGATATGATTCATTTCCTCTTGCCTAAGGGGTAGATCTCACTGCTCAGGTATTCATTCACTCACCATCTTCCTTCCTTGCTTTATCCCTTCCTTCCTCCCTTCTTCCTTTCTTCATTCCTTCCTTACCCTTTCCTTCTTTCCCTCCCTTTTTCTTTCTCTATCTTTTCTTTTCTTTCTTCCTTTTCTTTCTTTCTTTCTTTTTCTTCCTTTCTTCATTCCTTCTTTCCTTCCTTCCTTCCCCCCTCCCTCTTTCTTTCTTCTTTTCCTTCCTTCCTTTCTTCTTCATTCCTTTCTTTCTTTCCTCCTTTCTCTTTCTTTCTCTTTCTTTCTTCTTTCTTTTTTCCTTCCTTCCTCCCTCCCTCCCTCCCTACCTACCTCCCCCTCTTTCTTTTCCGTCCTTCCTCCCTCCCTCCGTCCCTCTCTCTTTTTCTTTCTTTCTTTCCTACTTTCTCTTTCTTTCTCCTTCCTTCCTTCTTTCCTTCCTCCATCCCTCCCTTTCTTTCTTTCTTTCCTTCTTCCCTTCTCTTTTTTCTTTTCTTTCTTTCTTCTTTCTTTCTTTCCTTTTCTCTTCCTTCCTTCCTTTCCTTGTTTCCTTCCCTCCCTCCCTCCTCCCTCTCTCCTTTCTTTCTTTCTTTCCTTTTCTCTTCCTTCCTTCCTTTTCTTCTTTCCTTCCTTCCCTCCCTCCCTCCCTCCCTTCTTTCTTTTCTTTTCTTTCTTTCTTTCTTTCTTTCTTTCTTTCTTTCTTTCTTTCTTTCTTTCTTTCTTTCTTTCTTTCTTTCTTTCTTTCTTTTTCTTTCTCTCTCTCTCTTTTCTCTTTCCATTTATCCAGGCAGCAAATATTTGAGTGTCTATTAAAGATAAGGGGGGGGGGGGAAAAACCATAAATGCACTTTCTCAGTGAGTATGGACCTCAGAATCCTTCTCAACACAGCATCTCCACCCCATTTCTTCCTATAGGTGTGCTAGCGGAAAACATAAGAAAGCACATCTTAGGTGGCCAGAGATTCCCACACACCATGTGAAACAGGGCCTTACATGCAGAAAACACTTATGGAATTAATTTAACCTGGTGTTAAATGATCTTTCCTTTCAGGGTAGGAGAGGAGATGAGTCAAAGAGCAAAAATAAAACAGAGAAGAAAAGCACATAATATAATATTGAGTCAAGTATGTGCTTGTTCCTTTTGTTGCCTATCCTGAGGAGGACAGATGCCTGGAAAATTCGAGTTGCTAAGAGCTGGGGATTGTCCCAGATACTATTATGAAGATAAAAGAGGAAGTGGAACTGAGTTCATTAATAGTGACTAAGAAAACCCTTAATGCTTGTTTTAGTTTGTGATTTTAGAGGTCATGCCCGACCAATCGGTTCTGCCCTGAAATAGTTTCCTGTCGGAGTCTTGACACTTGAAGATTTGATCATTATTCAGAGTATTTGTAGAAGTTCTTTTCTGAGTGGAGAAGGGAAGAGGAGTGTAATACAAAAAATCTTGCTTAATTTTTTGGAATAATTTTTTTTACTGGTGACAAGATCTATAATCTTTGAGAGTAGATTTAACTTGGGGAAAGAATAAAATATCACAGAGAAATAATCATTAAAAATAAATAGATGATTTACTTGGTTATACTAATCTAGAGTCCAACAACTAAAATGCAATCATGATATTTTGCCAAAAAAAAAAAATAGATAAATGGGCTGAGCACGGTGGCTCAGGCCTGAAATCCTAGCACTTTGGGAGGCTAGGGCGGGTGGATCGCCTGAGCTTGGGAGTTCAAAACCAGCCAGGGCAACATGGGGAAACCCTGTCTCTACTAAAAATACAAAAAATTAGCCAGGCGTGGTGACACACACCTACAGTCCCAGCTACTCAGGAGGCTCAGGCACAAGAATCACTTGAACCTGGGAGGCAGAGGTTGCAGTGAGTTGAGGTCACGCCACTGCACTCCAGCCTGGGCAACAGAGCGAGACTCTGTCTCCAAAAAAAAAAAAAAAGAAAGAAAAAAAAGAAAAGGAAAAAGCCTCAATGAATAATAATGTTTTTTGTGCCTCAATTGTAAATGCCCATTTAGACATTTCCAAAGGCCATGTTCAAAAAGGAATTCCAAGAACATGTGGTGGGAAGGGAATGGCATCGTATTTGTTCTGAAGGAATACTTGTGAAAAGTGGTCATGTGACAAACTCATTCAGGTAAGGTGACTAAAAACCTACGTTGTCGCTTTATCATTGCCTCCTACTTCTCTTTTGACTGGTGCCTAGAAAAGAGAGATCCAAAAGAGGGAGAGAATAATCCACAATTAAGATAAAGATTATTTTAGGGGAAAGGGAAAGGAAGGAATGAGAGCAAAAAGTGGGCCCTGGGGGTATTTCGAGACTCTGCTTTTGGCCATGCTTTGCTGCCATTTGGCAAGGCGACCCTGGCCTTGTGTGCTTAGAGTCATCTGACCGACGGTGGCCGGAAGCCGACTATGACAGAGACTTGAGATATTGCAGATCGGGTTGAGGAAGGTCAAAATAATTAGTCATTGGAGATGATATGAGGAAAGGAAGGAGGGGGAGGTTGGGGGAGTGGGTGCAACAGAAACAGTTCTAGTGTTGGAGCCGAGGAAGCCAACTCTGAAACATTTGGACCTTTGTTGTCTGACATTGCTTTTGCCACTCCTTCTTCCTTCCTCCCACCTTTGCCTTCCCCACCACCTCCTCCAAACTCCCCTGCCTTCTATCTCTGGCCCCACTGATGACCCCTCCATGTGAGTCGTAGGCTTTTACTACCCATGATTTCTTTTCTCCAAGCAAAAGAGAGAAGAGTTTATTTCATTCTCAGCAGCATCCCTGGCCAGCCTCGTCAAAGGTGAGATGATCCCAGGGTGACCTTCCTTTAGGACTGCCATTGGGAGGGTCGGGGTGGAAGACATTCCAAGAAGCAAGAGGGCACTCTCTGAAAGCGCTTTTATTACCCACGCTGCTCCCCTAGCCCTCCCCCATCATTCAGCCTACTTTGAAATTAATAAATGCACAGCTCAGAGAATGCAGGCTTTATCTAATAAAACCTCTCCCTTACTCTGCCCTCGCTCTGAACCCTTGCCTCAAGCATTTTAGTGAATTTGAGGCTGTTGATGTGGGTGGATTGACAGCCCTTGATTTGGGAGGCCTCCCTCTTTGACTGAAGACAGGTAGAGACAGTGGTGGTAGCAGCACCCAAAACAATCTGGCTGTTTCTCTCTCTCTCTCTCCTGGAAACACCCAGACTTGGGGGCCAGGGCTGAGCTTAGATGCTGCCTTCTCTGGAAAGCCTTTTTAAAGTCATGGACACTTGTGATTCTCAAACTTTGCTGCATGTTAGAATCATCTGGGGGAATTTTAGAAAATCCTGATGTTCAGGTCACATCCCAGAATAACCACGCCAGTTTCTGTCCGTGCGATTCTAACGAGCAGCTACGTTTGAAAACCAATGGCCAAGATCAGTGCTTCTTAAGCTTTAAGTTGCAAATGAACTCTCTGAGTGAAGATGTTGTTAAAACGAAGATTCTGATTCAGTAAGTACGAGGTGAGATCTGATATTCTGCATTTCTTGTTTGCTCCCAGGTGACAATGATACCACTGATACACAGACCACACTTTGAGAAGCAAGGTTCTATAGCAATGGTTCTCAATTCTTATTGCGCATCAGAATCACCCAGAAGGCTTGCTGAAACACACACTCCTGGGCCCCGTCCTTGGAGATTCGGCTTCAGTAGGTCTGGGTGGAGGGCCTGAGAATTTGCATTTCTAATAATTTCCCTGGATGACTGATCCAGGAACCAAAGTTTGAGAACCACTGGCCTAGACTGCTTTGCTCATGCCCCTCCCAGGTCTTCCAGAGTGCCTAAGCTGACTTCGTCGCAGCAGTCTTTTATTCAATCAGCTGGTGTTTACTCGGACACTTCCCATGCTGCAGGGGTTGTACCGGGCACATAGGAGGCAGTGCCTTGTAGCTGTTGTCAGCAAGAACTTTAAATGTGGAAGATGCGTTGTAAATTCCAGCCTAAGCTTTTTAGCTTCCTAACTAGGACAGATTGTTTTATCTATACAATCTGTCATAGAAGCTATTATATGTTGGAAACTCTGGAAGATCTATAATTACCCTTAACACTCAGCTCTACTTTGTAAGTTACATTTATTTATTCTTAGTTTCTAAATAGGATTACCATGGCCAGTGCCTTTCTAACAATTTTAGAGTCATTTTATTTGTGAGATTAATGATTTGAAACTTCGATTTTGTCAGAGATCTCTAGACTGACCTCTAGAGATAGGCGTGTTAAGAATTAACAGCCTTTAAATTCTGGGATACATGTGCAGAATATGCAGGTTTGTTACATAGGTATACATGTGCCATGTTGGTGTGCTGCACCTATCAACCCATCATCTACATTAGGTATTTCTCCTAATGCTATCCCTCCCCTAGCCCCCCACCCCCCAACAGGCCCCAATGTGTGATGTTCCCCTGCCTGTGTCCATGCGTTCTCATTGTTCAACTCCCACTTATGAGTGAGAACATGCAGTGTTTGGTTTTCTGCTCCTGTGTTAGTTTGCTGAGAATGATGGTTTCAGGCTTCATCCATGACCCTGCAAAGGTCATGAACTCATCCTTCTTTATGGCTGCATAGGATTCCATGGTGTATATGTGCCACATTTTCTTTATCCAGTCTATCATTGATGGGCATTTGGGTTGGTTCCAAGTCTTTGCTATTGTGAACAGTGCTGTAATAAACATTCATGTGCATGCGTCTTTATAGTAGAATGATTTATAATCCTTTGGGTATACCCAGTAATGGGATTGCTGTGTCAAATTGTATTTCTGGTTCTAGATCCTTGAGGAATTGCCACACTGTCTTCCACAATGGTTGAACTAATTTACACTCCCACTAACAGTGTAAAAGCGTTCAGTGTTTCTTTAACAGTAAAGACATTTTCATTATCAAATAATGATGTTCATGTTTTTCTAGAAAAACTATCATTACTCCATTTGTTTAAACTTTGATCTTGAATAAAAATAAAACAAGCAAAAAAAATTAACATTCTTCAGCTGGGCGCAGTGGCTCATGCCTGTAATCCCAGCACTTTGGGAAGCTGAGGCAGGTGAATCGCTTGAGGTCAGGAGTTCAAGACGAGCCTAGTCAACATGGTGAAATCTGTCTCTACAGAAAATACAAAAATTAGGTGGGTGTGGTGGCACGCACCTGTAGTCCCAGCTATTCAGAGGCTGAGCTAGGAGAATCGCTTGAACCCATGAGGCAGAGGTTACAGTGAGCCGAGATCACACCACTGCACTCCAGCCTGGGTGACAGAGCAAGCCTCTGTTTCAAAAAAAAAGAAAGAAAGAAAGAAAGAATTAACAGCCTTCTTTCTAGAAGCAGGGATCTGCCCAGTTAGCAAGGAGATTGGGTGGACCAATGCTGGGAATAGAATCCTGAGATTAAAGATATTGTTATTAAAAATATCTCTAATGTCCTTTGAAGTGAGGAGGCTCATTGCCTTTTCCCATTTCAAGAACCTCAGCAATTTTGAGGCACCAGAATTTTCCCTTTAAATCTAACTTCTGTCTTTCTTACTTTATTGTCAGTCCATTTTTAAGCCAAATCACTGAGTTATGACTCACATTGAAACGCTGTGCATCTTTAATGCACACAACTTGATGAGTTTGGAGATAAGTGTACACCTGTGAAGCTATCACCACAATCAACACCATAATCATTTCAATCACCTCCAAAAGTTTCCTTCTGCCCTCTTTGTTTGATATGGTTATTATTACTGTGATAAGAAGACAATGTAAGATCTATCCTTCTAGCATATTTTTAGTATACAATAGAATATTCTTAACTATAGCTACTATGTTGTCCTCTGGATATCTAGGACTTATTTATCTGGCATAATCAAAACTTTGTATCATTTGACCAACATCTCTCCGTTTCACCCTCCCTGTAGGCTTGGCAATCACCACTCTGCTCTCTGCTTCTGTGAGTTTGACTATTTTAGATTCTTCATAGAAGTGGGTTCATGTAGTACTTGTCCTTCTGTGCCTGGCTTATTTCACTTACCATAATATCCTCCAAGTTCATCCACATTGTTTCAAATGGCAGGATTTTCTTGCTTTTTAAGGCTGAATAACAATTCATTATATGTATATACCAATTTTCTTTATCTGTTTATCTGTCAGTGGACATTTAGATTGCTCTCATGTCTTAGCTATTGTGAATAATGCAATTCCGATTTCAATTCCTTTGGATATACACCCAGAAGTGGGATTTCTGGATTATATAATGATCTATTTTTATTTATTTATTTATTTATTTATTTATTTATTTTGAGACAGTCTCGCTCTGTCACCCAGGCTGGAGTGCAGTGGCACCATCCCAGCTCACTGTAACCTCTACCTCCTGGATTCAAGTGATTCTCCTGCCTCAGCCTCCCAAATAGCTGGGATTACAGGCATGTGTCACCACACCCAGCTAATTTTTTAATTTTTATTAGAGACAGAGTCTCATCATGTTGCCTGGGCTGGACTCAAACTCCTGGCCTCAAGAGATCCACCTGTCTTGACCTCCCAAACTGCTGGAATTACAGGTGTGAGCCACTATGCCCAGCCATGATGACCTATTTTTAACTTTTTGAGCAACCTCTGTACTGTTTTGCATAGTGGTTGCACCAATTTACATTCTGACCAAAATTATACAAGAGTTCTCTTTCTTCCACATCCCCACCAAAACTTGTTATCTTTTTAAGACAATAGCCATCCTGACAGGTGTGAGGTGAGATCTCATTGTGGTTTTGATGTGCATTTCTCTGATGATGTTGAGCATCTTTTCATAGCTATTGGTCATTGGTTTGTTTTCTTTGGGAAAATGTCTATTCAAGTCTTTTACTCCTTGAAAAATCTGGTTCTTCTTCACTTCCTTCCTTCCTTTCTTCTTTTCTTCCTCCCTTCTTCCCTTCTTTTCTTCTTTATTTCTTTGCTTCCTCTCTTCTTTTCTTTTCCTTTTCTTTTCTTTCCTTCCTTCCTTTCTTTCTTTCTGTCTCTCTTTCTTTCTTTCTCTCTCTCTTTCTCTTTCTTTTTTCTCTCTCTCTTCCTTCCTTCCTTTCTTTCTTTCTTTCTTTCTTTCTTTCTTTCTTTCTTTCTTTCTTTCTTTCTTTCTTTCATTCTTTCCCTCCCTCCCTCCCTCCCTCCCTCCCTCCCTTCCTTCCTCTCCTCTCCTTTCTCCCTTTCTCTCCCTCTCTCCTAGTAAATTGTAGGAGTTTCTTATATCGTTTGGATATCAACCCTTAATGATATATACAGCTATGGTTTGCAAACATTTTCTCCCGTTCTGTTAGTTGTATTATCATTTTGAAGTTTTTTTGTTCTGTGAAGAAGGTTTTTAGTTAGATATAGTCCAATTTGTCTGTTTTTGCTTTTGTTGCTTGTGCTTTTGGTGCCATATCCAAGGAATCATTGCCAATGTCAATATCAAGGACACTTTTTCCCATTTTTTCCTAGGAGCTTTATAGCCTCAGATCTTAATTTAAATATTTAATTCATTTTAAGTTTGTTTTTGTGTATGGTGTAAGATAAGGGTCCACTTTCATTCTTTTGCACATGGATATCCAGTTTTACCAACACCATTTATTGGACAGAATACTCTTTCTCTAAGTGTGTTCTTGGGACCCTTGTCAAATATCAATTGACTATATAATCACAAGTTTATTCCTGGGCTTTCTGTTTGTTCCATTGGTCTACATGTCTGTCTTTATGCCAGTACTGTATTGTTTTAATGCCTGTAGCTTTGAAACATATTTTCAAATTAGGAAGGGGTGATGCTTCCAGCTTTGTTCTTCTTGTTCAATAGTGCTTTGGTTTCTGGGTAACTTGTGGTTCCATAAGAATTTTAGAATTTGTTTTCTATTTCTGCAAAAAAAAAATGCCATTGGGATTTTGATAGGATGGTATTGAAACTATAGATAGCTTTGGGTAGTATAGACATTTTAAAAATATTAATATTAATTGTATCAGTCCATTTCATTTAGTTGTTATCCAATAATCTGAAGACTTACTGAGGATAAGAATTGTGTCAGAGTATTTCCCTTTTATCTTTCTTGATTAATGGGCTGGTGCATAGTAAATATTAACCAAATGAATGAATGCAGAGATGAAGATTAAGGGCCTTGAGGAGGGTGGTGGAGCTGGAATTTGGACCCAGCTCTATGTAAGTTTAGAATCTCTGCCCTCCCTAAGAATTAATTTTTGCAGGCACCTGAATTCACTCATATGTCATTGAGAAGAGGCTATGGACTCAAAAGACTGGAGTCCTTTTCTAACAGCTTTGAAATCATAAAATGAAAAGAATGAAGATTTCTTTTAATATATTGACAAATTTTGGCACACCATAGAAGGGGTTTTCCTATGTTATTGGAGATACTTCTAGGTCATGCATTGTCATAGCAGAACTACAAATACTTAATTATTTTTCTACCTTACCTAAAATGTGTTTACCACTCTAGCAGGTTGCTCTCCTAATGACTGCTATGAAACAGAGCCATGGGTTCTTTGTACGTCCCAGCCTACTAGAGTCAGGTGGAGCCATGTGTCCAATTCTGTCTATTGGGCTGAGAGAAGAGGGAATACATGTCATTCCCATGCCAAAGCACACAAATCAGATGTGGGTTCTCCATGAGCTCTCTTCCCCTTCTGTGGTGACCATGGCGGACTAATATTGCAGATGATGCAGCTAAGACTAAGTAGTCAACGGATCCTGCCATCATCCTGGATCCTTGAATGGCTATGTGGAGCAGAGCCCCCTTACATTACCTGCTGGGCATACAACATGAATAAGAAATCAACCTTTATGATATTGAATCACTAAAATTCCAGGGAAATTGTCTGCAAAATAGTCTAGGCTCTTTTGAATAATTTAACTCCCAACAGAACAAGCCAAGTTTGTTCTCTCATGGGGATCTTTGTTAAAATTGATGGTCTTTCTGAATTATTTTCTTTTTCTAGCAATTCAAATTGTACCCAGCTCCCACCACCCATTTAACCTGTGACACCGTCATTGGCAGCCATAGTCAACAATGATTTCTTCCTGTAGTTCATTCATTTCACAAATATTTCTTGAGTATTTATTATGTGCCAAGTAGATTAAATAAAAATTAATGAGCCTAAGTACTAAGGTAGAGAAAGTACATGTTTCCTGGCCTTAATACCTCTCTAGGACCTTTTTAGTCTCCGATTACCTTATTTTTTCACAATGTGTTTATATGATCTTCTGCTCTAGTTTTATGAGTGTTTGGCTGGCCAGGGAGGATCCTGATGTTCTTAAATAACCTTTCTTTTATGCCCTTTTCTTCTCTCTTTTCTCTTCTCTGTGAATTTTTGCTGCCTTAGGCTGTCAAATAAACACATTGCTAGGAGGATCACCTCAACCTGTAGGAACTTCCTTCCTGCCAAGAAGCTGGTTCATTCATCACCAAGCATCATCATCATGGAATGTAAGTGCACGCTTTGCTCTGGGCTCTCACTCCCACTGGGACTTTGACCTGGACTCAGTCAGCTGCTTGATTTTCAGAAAGGAGGCTGACCCTGTGGGGTAGACAAAAGCTTGTTTTGATAGTCATCACCACGTGGAAGCTGTGTGTATGTGCCAATTTACACAGCATCAAGGTTTTAGGTTTGCTACATGGAGTTTGGCTCCATCAGGTAAAGCACTGCAGGTTTAGGGAAGCTTAGTTTTTCCTGGCTTTGATGCTCTCCTCTAGACGGAAGGGACTTGTAACAGCTGAGTTGAGAGGTAACCCGTGATACCCGGCGCCCAGATTGGGGAAATGCCCTGCTTAATGTAGCACAGTGAGTGGGGATGGGAGCTGGAACTAGAAGCCAGGACTCATGGGTCCTAATGCAATGTGCATCCTTTCATATCATACTCTCTGGCTACACTTTTCAGGACAAATATTATAATTATTTCAGCCTCCCTTATGAGGCAAAATTATCTAAATAAAAATAATAACTAATAACAATAATTTCTACCATATAGTTAACACTCAGTCTATACCAGGCTTGAACAGGGTAGACCATATACTAAGAGGGTAGTAGGCCCTCAACAGGTAATAATTGGATGGGTGAATGAAAGACAGCATAGCAAAGTGCTTAAGAGGAGGGGTGGGGTTCAAATCCTGGCTCATACAGTTACAAGCTGCAAGACTTTAGCAAGTGAACACAACCTCTCTCTGCCTCATTTTCTGCAATGTTCACATTGGCATAATAATATTGATAACCATTGAAAGGATTGAATGAGGTGGTGCAAGCAAACACTTACTGGCATGCAGTGGGTGCTTGATAACGGGAAACCAATTACTACCCTTATCATCATCATCGTCATCGTCATCATCTTCACTCTTGCTTAGAGGGAGGAACAGAGAAGGTTAAAGTTAGAGGCAGGAAGCCTACTTAAGATGCTATTGTAATTATCCACTCAGTATCTCCCATTACTGAGCCCTTTCCACCTGCCAGACACCGTGCTAAGTGCTTGATGTGCAATATCCCTGGTAACATCATTCTGAGTTTTATGTGTACATTAGACAAAACAAACAGCAAGCAGGATTCAAAATATTTGTCCCCACTCCATAAACAAACCTGCCTGTGTCATCACCATGAGCCTCGTCTCAACATCCTAACTTTGTAAGGCATTTTCCAAAATCAGAGAAGACTCTGCACAATAGAAATTTGGATGCTGGGCCACTGAGAGTTTCACAACTTGTGTCCCCAAAGTATAGTGCCAGCCACCATTCTTCTATGGGGATTCTAGTTTCATGAACTTTATCACAGGGGTTGCTGGAGAAAAAGTCATAGATGTGATAGATGCCTTGAAGCCAGAAACAGCTGTGCCCAGTAGCATCAAACATGAATAGGACTCTGAGTCAGTCTCATATTCTTTTCTCATAGGGACCAGAGTTTCTCTTTCACCAAAGAAAAATGCTTAGGGAAGGAAGCGTTACCCTGCCATATGTCAGCCTTGACAGATAAGCCAGTGCTACAATGGATTTACCAATCCCATGACATTGTATAAAAACTTTCTCAGACCTAGCCACAATTTTGGTATTCTTTCTGAGGACTTTGGAGAGGCAGACCGATCCTTTCATTGGTCATCTGAAAAAAAAAAAAAAAAAAAAAAAAAAAAGAGTCACTACCAAGTCGGTGGGGCTGAGCTGGGGTCTGTGGAGAAATTTCATGTATAAGTTTGGTAAAGCTTCCAGGTCTTCTGGATCCAAGGCAGATCTTGACAATTCAGAACAGTCCTGTGAATTGCTCTGAGGCCATCTCCATGTAGTTCTCCCATGCAATTAGTTACATCTCCTCCTGAAGCTTTCATGGGATGAGCAATTTGATGAATAAAAACAAACAAACAAACAAAAACTTGAGACTTGAGTGCAAAGTATTATTTGGAAATCTTACCTCCTAATGAACTTATTTCAAAGGCAGCTTACCGAGTTTGGTTGAAGGTATGAAGGTAAGAAGTACCTCTACAAATTTATGTAGGGTGGAGGTGGCATGTCCGATTGCCCACATGACACAGTGCTTGTGCAATGCAAAGAACGTTCAAGAATCATCTGCTGTAGGAATGACAGAGAAGCTTCTTCTCAAAGTCTATCTTTTATCAGTGGGTAGTGGCTCCCTGAAACTCTCAGCTGAGATAAATCCTGAGACCTCATCTGGGTTCAACAGGAAAAATAAATAAAATGAGTGACTAGTGATGTCTGTTGTGGATGCGACAATAGAGAGTTATGACCTGTGAGCCAAATATATACTCTCCTACCTACTGTCCAATTTTCTCATTTTCTAGATGGGCAATCTGAGTTTCACGTAAAAGTTACTTGCCCGAAGTTACATAATGTACTACAAGTTAACTCCACATTAAGTTAACACCAATGCGTCTTTTCTACCACATTATAAAATTTAGCTCCAATCACCCATGAGAGGAAAGCAGGCTGATTAAAGAAAAAAATTGTGTATGGCCTCACAATATAAGTTTAGTTTGCTGGTTTCCACCAACATCTGACATATTGGTGACTTATGCATTGTGGTTTATTTTAAAGCTGCCCCCATTTTTTTTTCTTTGCAAAGAACCTGAATTATTTTAACGGGCCACTTTGTGCCAGTCATTTACAAGCCATGGGAACTTCTTGAATTTACACAGTCAGATTAAAGTTATTGTGAAACAGGGTGATGCAGCTTTCACAGGGGATATCCAAGCGACAGGGGTTGTTGACTTGTTATTTGTTGAGTGATGGGCCCTAAACTTCCCCCAGTGATATGTTACACCACCCTGATCCTTTTTCTCCCATTTCCATGGTGTCCTCTTCCAGACTGGCTGGCGCAGCTGAAAAATAAACACTGGGTGTCCCCCGCATATGGTGTGAGGAGTGGGAAGAGAGGAATCATATTTATTTTAGATGCACCCTGGAGATCTTGACACTAATGCATTTCTATCTCTCCTCTCAATTCCATGAGTGGACGCTTAATATGATCTCTGGCTATTGCAAGGGAGGAGGCCAGTGTGACAGCAAATCTGGGATCCAACCCAGACAAACAGTGGGAAAGCAAATATCCTGACAGACCAGTATGGAAAATTCTCCTTTCTTTAGAAGACAGATCTGTCCCCCTTATTTAATCCCCGGCACAGCTGCTCTACTCAGGGCATAGAGACATCAAATGAAAATGGATTCTGATTTGGGAATCATAGGGGCAAATCTAATTTCAGATTATTCCTTTTTCCACAGTCTCACCCTGCTGGAGGTTCGAGCCAAGACATAGAAAGAGGACATTACCTGGGGCAGGAATCAATTGCCTATCACTGGGGATGCCTGCAGATCATTGTCCAGAGTGGCTGCTGTTCACTGAGTGTTTCCTCTGTGCCGGGCACCTTGCACACCTTATTTTCAGTCTCCGCAGCTGCCTTGTTGAGGTTGGCTCTCTATGCTTCTGTTTCACAGTTGGGGAAACTGAGGTTCAGAGATGTGAATGAATTTTCTCAAAGTAACGTTAAGTATTGGTAAGATTTCATTTATCCATTCACTATTAAATATTATTAAGTAATTACAGTGCTTTAAGAACTCCATGTAAATGGTGGATTTGAGGCAAAACTTAGAAGCTGAATTACATAAGGAGTTAACATTGCAAAAAGCTTAGAAATTTATGTTCCAGGTGGAGCGAACAGAGGTTGTGTCTTTTCGGTTACAAGTAATAAAATCCAGAGGCTATCTCAAGGGAAAAATAAAGCACTAGATGGTCTACCAAAGATAGAGGGGCAGGTGGATTTTGGGAAGGGGCAAGAATGAACAGCTAGAAAAATGTGGCTTACGTTTACTGTCTTATCTGCCCCTTAGCTTCATAGCTTTCTTTTTCTCATGTGTAGAGTGATCAAAGATGACCACCACCAAACTTTCATATTAAAGATTAAAACACAAAAATAGGCCAGACACAGTGGCTCATGCCTGTAATCCCAGCATCTTGAGAGGGTGAGGCAGAAGGATCGCTTGAGCCCAGGAGTTTAGGTTCAGCCTGGGCAACATAGCAAGATCCTGTCACTATAAATAGTAACAAGATTAGGTGGACATTATGGTTCATACCTGTGGTCCCAGCTCTTCAGGGGGCTGAGGCAGGAAGATCCCTTGAGCTCAGAAGTTTGAGGCTGCTATGAGCTATGATTACGTCGCTGCACTCCAGCTTGTGTGACAGAGCAAGACCCTGTCTCAAAAAAAAAAAAAAAAAAGACATCTAAATAGATAAATAGAGCAACTCTCCCTCTCAGAATCCTGGGCACAAAATTTCTATTGGCTTAGCTTCTGTCAAGTGTTTAATCCTAGTCACATATCAGAGGCTGCAGGTGGATGGGGTCATATGATATAATACGGCCTCGTGGGGATTGATCACTGTGGGTGAAGAACTCAGTTAAGGTGGCATTAGAAGGTGGACAGATAGCTTGAAAGATGCTGCCTCACCCAGTTACAGAGCTAAAAACCAGACCTAAGTGTGTGTAAGTCAAAACACTACAGTTGACAACCAACTTCATATCTTCTATCATTTCAGAGTAGCACGACACTGGTCAAGAAAGGCCCACATGTTGGTAATTTGTGCCTCCCATATGGTCAATGCTACATTGCGAGGAAGCATGCTGAGCATGACAGTATGCTCTACACCTGTGTGGCTACCATGTTTTGGTTGCCTCCATATAATGGAGTGGTTAAGAGTCCGGGTTCTGGGGCTGAAACACTGGAATTTGAGCCCCAGCTCTGCCAGTGTGTGCCCTTGAGAAAGCTAACTGCCCTCATTACATGTGTTGGTCTTCTCATCCATAACAGGCAGATAATATTAGTTTCTAGCTCAAGGGGTTATTGCCAAGATCAAATGAATGAGTACAGATTAACTTATTGAACAACAGCCAATAAAGGCAAGTTATTTTGAGATACTCAGACTGGACACCATGGGAAACAATGATGAAAGACTCTCCCACAGAAAGACATGGTGTGGTAAGGCAGGGGTTGCAATATTCCGGAAGCTCAGTCACCATAATGAAATAATAGGTCCAGGCATGATGGACACAGTTCCTTTGGAGTCATGTTCCAATTACCACATGGAACCATGGTCCCAGATGCTGACCAAATCTGCTGGCCCAGCTTGGCTTCATTAGTCCCCAGAGATCACCCAGACAGATCAAAGAAAACCCATCCTCAACCAGCCAGAGATTGCTCAAAAAACCAATGACTGTCCCACCAGGGACTGGAATTCCAACTTGCTGGCTAGGTCTGGAGAAGGAGGTGGAGGTGGAACTGCATCCTTTTTTCCAGTATGGACTGAGAGCCAACCATGTGCCAAGGCTGGGAGGAGGTACCGAGGTTGCAGAAAGAAAGGCCCAGTCACGGAATTCAGAGAACTCAGAGTTCAGTGGGGAAGACATGGGCATCCACAATGATATGGGACAATTCATGTTTTTCATTGTTCTGGTAAGAATTTAGTGGGATTATAAAAATAACAATAAAAACAAGAACAATAAAGTGAGATTAAACGAAATGCAAAAATAAAATATGTAATTTCATGAAGAAGTTAAAACAAGGGAAAAATGAGAGAAGAGGGGATAAAATGTAGCTGGAGTTAAATTAGTGGCTGAAGTCAAGAGACTGGCTTTGGAGCCTGTGTTCTGCCTCTTCTGAGAGAGCACAGTGAGCTTGAGAAAGATAGTCTACCTTCAGCATCTCTGCTTCCTCTTCTGTAATGTGGGGATAACAAAAATCACATGTGGATTTTGTGATGAATGAATGACAGCAGCTCTACATAGCGCATTACACAATGTAGGGCCTATTAGAGGTGGGGATGAGGTTTCAATTATGGGCTAATGGTGCAAAGCTTGAGATCACAGTGCTTTGCCATTCACCTCTTCTCCCTAAAAGGGTCCTAACAGAGGGAGATTTTCACATAAGGAATACCCGCCAAGCAGGAAGCAGGCCACTGCTTTATTAATAACGGATATGAATGAATAACCTAGCCAACATTCAATGGCACCAAATGCTGAGCTTTCTAGCAGGGCTAGGTTTGGGATATAAATGAGGGCTTGGTTTGGGATATAAATGAGGGTTCCTGCTGCTATACCCTCATGGCAAGTTCCTAGCCAGACTAGCTTCCTCATTTCGGAGAAGGAAGAATTAGAATAGCAACCAAAAAAAGCACATATACATCATTTGAGTTGGACATACAGTCCCTGAGAATAAAGACTACAGCCTCCCTTGTCACTAGATTTGGCCATATATCTAAGCTTTGGCCAGTACATTATAATATCTTTCCTAAAAAGACAGCTAGCTCAGACCCTTGTTTATTTATTTGTTTGTTTTCATTTGTTGTTCCTTTCTCCTTCCTGCTGGTTGGAAGGTGAATAGCATGATGACAGTCCTGGCAGTCGACTTGGATTACATGAACCTGGGCCACATCCTAAGGAAGGCAGGGCCAAAATCTGGAAGGAGCCTTGGCCTCTGGGGACTTGACCTGCAAAAGCCTCCCATTAGCTCTAGACTTCTTCCCTTCAGATTTATATATGAGAGAGCAGGACACTTCTACTGGGGGTATGCTGCTGTTAGTTTGAGACTCTGTTACAACTAAACTTTGTTCTAATGATACAAAAAACTTGGGGCTTAAAAAATATAAATATCAGTATCTAGAATCATAATTCAAAGTCATGGGTTTTAAAAAAAAATACATAATTGAATAAGACATGCTCCAAAAAAGTTCTCTGCTTGTTATTCTTTCAAACTAAAAAGAGTCGTTGAGCCTCCACTGGGTGTCAGGTGCCAGCAGCGGATGTTACAAAAATCCAAGGATGAGTGACATTCACAAGGCTTTGTTTTGTGCATCATTGGGGCTTTTGTTTCATGTTGGAAACAGCATATGAGGTAGGTTTGAGTATGGGGAGAATTTGAGAGAGAGAGAGAGGAGGGAAGGAGAAAGCGAGAGGAGTTAGGGTGGAAACTAGTGTTTCTAGGAGAGTTAATAGTAGGACTAAGACAGGCATAGTGGCACACACCTGTAGTCCCACCTACTCTGGAGGCTCAGGTGGGAGGAAGGCTTGAGGCCAGGAGTTTGAGTCCAGCCTGGTTAACATAATGAGACCCCATCTCTCTAAAAAAAAAAAAATCGTAGAACCAAAGGCCGTGAGAAGAAAAGCCCTTTTCCCAATTTCAATATTTAGCCATGGTCTTTGTTTAATAAGAGAGTCTCTTTAATTGCTTAATCATGATGACTTGATTCCCAATTCCTGTTATCTGTGTGACCTGACACAGGCTCTGATACACTGTCGCTTCCCGGTAGATGATGGATGCTGCAGTTGTTGTTAGATATTCAGACGAATGCAAGCAGAAGAGCAGGGCCCACCGGTAGCACCTTTTGTTCTATGTATGTTTTCGTTTCTCATTTGAGGCATTGGGTATTCATCTCAATGTAACCCAACACTAGCTCCTGCCCTGTATCTTCAGGACTGCAGCTTATGGTCAAACAGGTTAGGTGATGGATGACTCTAGGGAGGGCCACTGACATCGTCCACAGTGTGATTTGCACTGGGATTGTGCAAGAGGCTCAGTTTACACAATCATCAGCAGAACTTCGCCTAGGGCCTCTTATTAGAGAAAAACATGGAGAGGACAAATGCCCTTTCATCTTCTGTCATTCTTTGGCCCAAACCCTCCACCCCACTGGAATGCCAGCTTCAAGAGGGCAGGGATGTTTTGTCTGTTCTGTTCACTGCCATCTTCCCAGTGATCAATAGTAAAATGAATTATATTTGCAGTGTTACTTATGGAAACACCTTTATTCCACCCTGTAATCTACTGGAAGCTTCCATGTCTCAACCACGTGCCAGAAGGTCATAAAGAAAAGAAAATGGAAACTTGAAAATGGGCAGAACAAATGCTCCTGTTCCCTAAATATATTGCTGGTATCTAGCGCTGTGTCTGATTTCCCCACCATTTTATTTTTGGCCCTGATCTCAGAGGCTTAAAGCATTAAATCATCACTAGACAAGGGTGAGCACAGGCTGTTAGAACAGAACAAGTTCATGGTGCTAACAGACCCTCCCAGCAAAGATTGTGATCTGGCACTGTGAGAACAGCATCTTATTGTGTGTCTGCAGCCTGAGAAGACAGCACCCTGGCATGGAAAAGTGTGGCCTGAGGCTCTGGGTTGTTGGGTTCGCTGTAGAGTTTATTCTCTCATGTAGTCCCCCAATCATCACACCCATGCCGTACCCTGACTCATTGGTTATTGGGTGTAATGTCTCTCTATTCAGTAATGGGGATTCTTTTCTCTTTAAGTCATTAGCAACTCAGTGATAACTGCTACTTCTTGCAAAAAAGCGTTTGCAAGCTCCACTTCTGCCCATTCATGGGAAAACACACACCCGACTTCGGTTCAGTACCTAAGTGTTCCAGGCTCTACGCTACACACAGAAGAGGTGCTGTCTCATCAGTACCGTACCACACTCCTCTGAGTCAGGAAGAATTAGCCGCATGTCTAGCCTTCCTAGAGAAATTAGGAAAACTTCCCAAGATAGTGCTACTAGCTCATATCTGTAGAACTTATTGCATGCTCAACTAGCCCTTTTCAACTCCCACAGCCACCCTAAGTGAGAGGTAAGGGTAGGTGTGCCCATTTTACAGATTACATAACTGAGGTGCAGTTACTCAGGAAGTGAGGGAACCAGGATTCAAGTCAGCCAGTCAGCACCAGAACCCACACACTGAATCTAGTCCCGAGATTGGGGTTGGAATCCAGTCCTTTCTCCCAGTCTGCAGGCCTCCAGTACCAGGAGCTCAGTCGAACAGGTTTTACAAACTCCTTTCAGAGATCTGGCATACAAATGAATGATGCAGGCTAAGGGTATACAAACTTTCTTTTGTTCCTGAAACAAAGCATTGTCTCAGTGTTTCTTTGCTTTTTTTTTTTTTTTAATTAGGTAGAGATGTAGGTGCTGGAAATACTTTACTGTATTCTTAGCTCTGTGAATGCCAGAAAACAAGTAAATGCAGATAACATAGAAGCAGAATCTGAACTCAGGGAACAGCTTTCCTTCCAAACAGTTTGCCTTGCATGCATGTGGTGAACAGGGAACACTTTTACACTGCAGGTGGGAATGTAAATTAGTACAGTCACTATGGAAAACAGTATGGAGACTCCTTAAAGAAATGAAAGTAGAACTACCATTTGATCCAGCAATCAACTACTGGGTATTTATCCAAAGGAAAAGAAGTCATTACATAAAGAGGGCACATGCACACACATGTTAATAGCAGCACAATTCGCAATTGCACAGATATGGAACCACGCTAAGTGCCCATCAATCAACGAGTGGATTAAGAAAATGTGGTATATGTACACCATGGAATACTATTCAGCCATAAAAAGCAACGAAATAATGTCTTTTATAGCAACTTGGATGAAGCTGGAGGCTGTTATTGTAAGTGAAGTAACACAGGAATGGAAAATCAAATATAGTGTATTCTCTTATAAGTGGGAGCTAAGCTATGAGGACACAAAGGCATAAGAGTGATATAATAGACTTTGAGGACTCAGGGGAGAAGTTTGGGAGGGGGTGAAGGATAAAAGACTACCTACTGGGTGCAGTGTACACTGCTTCAGTGATGGGTGTCCTAAAGTCTCAGAAATCACTACTAAAGAACTTATCCATGTAACCAAAAACCACCTGTACCCCAAAAAACTACCGAAATTAAAAAACAAAAAACCATGAAATGGATGTCTCATCACCAAAAAACAAACAAACAAAAAAAAAAACAAAAGAAGTTTGTCTCGGGAAACAGTTGGGGTTTTCACAAACTTGCTGAGCATCACTTAAGGCCTATGCTTCCTAAGGCTACAGGCAAGAATGTTAGAGACTGTCTTTTAAGTTATTTAGTTTTTGCATCTTCCATTAAAAAAAAAGGTAGGGTGATAAATCACAGATAGATAAAAAGCTTTTGCCAACATGAGCTTCTCTCTGCAGCAACTGGCCTTCAGAAGGCAGACTGGGGCAGCCTGCAGATCTGCCTGCAATTCCTGGTCCTGACTGTTGTTCTGCAACTGGAATTAAGGAACCAGACAACGTGCCCAAGATTTATGGATTCCATTGTTTATGATATGTGTTCCTCACATATGTTCCCTCTGTCTCACCCGACAGGGAACACCACATCACAAGGTCTGTGGGAGTTGGAGAAAACTCTCGCTGACTCCCTGAATATAGTCCCAGTGGGAACCACCTTGGGGAGAGGCTCTGTCCAGCTGAACCCTCCAGTGCACAGTATGCTTGGCTGCAGAGGCTTGGAGTGAGAGAGGAGACCAGGGTCCAGCTTCTCGGACAGCACTCACTGGGGTAGGTTGTGTCTGGCACATTTTCAGCAACTGCTTTCAAAGTAATAATAATAGGAATTATAATCTAAAAAGAATGGCTTCCACATGTCGCTCTGCTTGTTTAAAATCCAGGTTCACAGCCCTACTTCTTGAATTCCCAATTAAGAAGCGTCTGAAGGAATCCAGTGATCTCTGTATTTAACTATCTTTCAGAATAATTTATCAGCAACTAACTACGACATTTGAAAATCACTGATCTAAAAATGTCAACATCCTGTTCACAGACATTTCAAAGTTTCCTGAAATAATAGTTCAAGACTTTCTTTTAGAGTGACTCCCCTATGATACAAAGCAAATGCACGTATATGAAAGTATATAATGACCAGAATAGTCTGGTAATCCAGTGAGTATCTATGATGTGCTAGGCACTGCACAGAAAAGTTTACAGGCATTACTGCATTTAATCCTTTCTGCAGATTTTATGGGGAGAGGGTTATGAATGCACCCATTTCACAAATTATAAAACCATGACTCAGAAAACAAGAGCTGCCGGAGGTCACACAGCTAGTGAGGAACAGAGCTGTGATTTGGGCCCAGGTTAATTTTATTTCCATTTGATTCCTTCTTTGATGAAAACTGGGAGAAATCAGTGTTTTGTTTTTCCTGAAAAGGAAATTGAAATAGGAGAGAGTTTGGGGATCTGTATTAGTTTTCTGTGGCTGCTGTACCAATTTACTACAAGCTTGGTGGCTTAAAACAACAAAAATGATGTGTTTTCTCACAGTTCTAGAGGCAAGAAGTCTGGAATAAGTATCACTGGGCCAAAATCAAGGTGTCAGAAGAACTTCACATCCCCCAAAACCTCCAGGAGAGAAGCCATTCCTTGCCACTTCCAACTTCTGAGCCTCCAGATATTCTTTGACTTGTATCTGTGTCACGCCAATCTCTGCCACTGTCTTCACATGGCCTTCTCTTCTGTGTCTCTCCAATTTGCCTTTGTATTTCTCCTATAAAGACACTATCATTGGATGTAGGGCCTACCTGGATGATTGAGAATGATCTCCTGTCGAGATCTGTAATTATATCTAAAAAGGGCCTTTTTCCAAATGTTACATGGTGAACATGTTTCGGGGGAACTAGCATTCAACCTGCTACAGCGTCCTCTAGCTAGGAAGTGGTAGAAGCAGGACCTAATGTAGATCTAGCCACAATCCCACATGGATTGCTTAGACTGCATCAATTGTGAATGACAGACACCCAGTGCAACTTAAGCTTTCTGCATTGCTGTTGAATAGGGGGAGGAGGAAATGGTGGATACAGAGTCACTGTAGCTGAAGATGCCAAAGGTAGACATTTCTAGTTGCAGACATCATCTACATTTTGTGGTCAGGGCTCAAGCCATCTCTTGGGCAGGCTTTCTTCACCCAGTAGGTGAAATGTCTTCTGTTAGCTCAACACCCACAGTCCTCTAGTGTGGCCAGTGGAAAGTGACTTCTCTTTCCATTAACTCAAGAGAAAAAGCCCGAAAAGCTTTGGCCCTGCCAAAATCACATCACCCTGGTGAAATCACATGATCAGCCCTAAACCAATCACTCTAGCCAGGGAGATCATTTATTCAATAGCAATAATAAATATATATTGAGTACATTCTATGTGTCAGGAATTCTTCAAGATGTATAAAAATACCCCAGCAAACAGAAGACAAATTCCTACCCTCATGGAGCTTATATTCTAGAGGAAAATACAGACAATTAACATATAAACAAATTTTAAAAACTGTCATTCAAATTCAGACAGAGAGTAGAGCTATGTAATAAATTAATTAGGGCAATGTGCTTAAAAATGGCCAGAGGTGGTGTGGACTCCTTTAGCCGGTATGATCAGTTAAGACCTCTCTGTAGAGGTGGTAGATGAGGTGCAACTCAAGTCACGGGAGGCAACCGTTTAAAGATTTGTGGAAGATCATTCTAAATGGAAGGAATAGCAGGTGCAAAGACAGTGGGGTGGGAACAACCTTAGAGGAACAGAAACATGGACAGTACAGCTTGACTATAGTCCATGAGCAGGAGAGAGTATGAGATGGAGTACTTCAGTGGTGAAACTGGGATCTCAAAACCAAAATGTGATTTCCAACCCATCTGCTCTTTAACTCTTTTCTACACAACCTTGCTCAGGAGAGGTATGTCTGTCCACCAAGCATAGGTCTCCTGTGCATTGTGTCACCCCTCTCACTGCATGGCTAGAAGATGTTCTTTGAGCAGCTGGAAGATTGTAAATATGACACCATCTATTTGGTGGGTGATTTTTGCTCCTTCTGGTATAAGAGGATATAAGTGGGGAAATAGAACAAGAGTTAACAAACTCTGTAAGGTCTCATTGGATCTTCACCCTAACTCAAACTTGGTCCAAACAAAACTCTTTGACAATATTTAGGTGTGAGTAGGGGAGTTGATAAATGATGTTTTCTCTCTTCTCTTCTTTTTCACTTTTATACGCCTCTGGGTTGATGGTTTCTGGCCAAGGCCAGAGGTACTAAAATACCACAAGAAAGGAGAACTTTGAAGTGATCATCTGTTCAGCCAAGAAGGAGGTGGTGCTGCCTGAAGGTTCACCAGGAATGCGGTCTTCTGGAGCTTTAGACAGAGTTCCTAGGAGGCCCCCAGAGACAGACAGATGCCTTGGAGTTGATTTGGAGAAACATCTGAACTTCTGGATGGAGTTCTGAGCCGAGCCTGAAACCCTCTGGGAGCCTTCATTTGCTCCCAGACAATCCATGGAAACACCTGTTCCAAGTCTGAGCTGACTGGACCACCGCCTTTGATTTTGGAAAACTCAGAGACCAGATCTTGAATCGTCCTTTCAGAATGTACTCTGGAATTCCTTGTTCTTCAGTGCAAAGATTTAGATAAAGTTATCTGACCATGTGAATGACAGATCTGAGAATGTGATGACTTTATTGATAGGTCCTACTGGACAGTTCCTTGGCCCAGCAGCATCAGCACCTCCTGGGATCTTGCTAGAAATACTAAATCTCAGGCCCTACCCCAGACCTGCTATTTTAGAATCTGTAATTTAACAAGATCCCAGTTAATTAGCATGCACATTCCAGTTTGAGAAAAGCGGCACTAAAAAGCTTTGTCAAATAGGCAGTGTGCTCCCATTTCTCGGTATTGTGCCTGTGACAGGCATCAATAATCAACCAGAGAATCACTTCCTTCTGAGAGCAGAATATTCTCAAGTCATGGTTTCAGGTCGCAGTGACCAATCAATGGGAGTTGGATCAAAATTAAACCTATCTTCCATACTGGTGTCAACACTTGAAGAAAGCTCTTTTATTTCCACCCATATACACATCATACATGCCTGATAAATGTTTGTGGAATGAATGTGTTTTCCCCTAGCCTTGTTTCCTGTGATATTCACACTATTCCAGTCCATACCCACAGAAAATCAGAACTTCACTGGGCATCTGGGAAGTTCAGCAGCTGTTCTAGGTGTTGGATTTTGCTATTGGCCATGACCCATTAGAAGGTTGAGGTGAGGTTGGAAAGATGTTAGGGATGGAATGAAGACACTTGGGAACCCATCTCGCTGTGGCACATGGACCTCAAACCATGCAAGTTTTCTTTTTTCTTTCTTTCTTTTTTTCTTTTTCTTGAGATGGAGTCTTGCTCTGTCTCCCAGGCTGGAGTGCAAGGGCGCGATCTCGGCTTACTGCACCCTCTGCCTCCCAGGTTCAAGCTACTCTCCTGCCTCAGCCTCCTGAGTAGCTGGGATTACAGGGGCATGCCACCATGCCCAGCTAACTTTTGTATTTTTAGTAGAGACGGGGTCTCACCATGTCAGCCAGGCTTGTCTCAAACTCCTGACCTCAGGTGATCCGCCCACCTCTGCCTCCCAAAGTACTGGGATTACAGGCGTGAGTCACCATGCTTGGCCGCAAGTTTTCTTCAGGACATGGCCCCATGTAGTCCAGCTCTACAAGGTGGCTGCTGTGTGAACTAGGCTACATGCCGAAACGGGACTGTCGGGGGAATCAGCAGGGGGGGCAGACCAACAGCCCTGTAAGACATAGCAATAATGATTATAAATAGCATCCTTCTGACCGCCTTTTGATGTACTGTCCAAGGCCAGGTGGAAAATCTTTCCTCCCCTGCCTTTCCCCACTAATCACCTTCCCCTCATTTTTCAATAAAGATTCTGAGCCCAGTCCGTTGCTTGTCAGGAGCATTTGTTTCCCATTAGAATACCTTTTGCGATTTCGGTTTGTTATGCTAGATAATTGCTTTAATAACAAACTGAGGAAAGACTTTTGAACATTTTAGGAAGTAGCTTTTTTTTTCTTCAGTGAAAATTAACAGAGACTGACAGAGAATTTGGGAATAGTGAAAGAGAAGAAAAGAGGGCTTGGGGAGGTGGGGGTTTGGGGAAGTTCAACCAGTGGGCGCAGGTGAAGATCATCAGCAGGCAGAGAATTGTCAGGGGCATGGATGCTTGTGAATGGAAGGGGAAGCTTAAATATTTGGCAGGCTTGTCGGGGGGTAAGCGTGAAGCAACGTTACCTGTCGTCGGGGATAAGCGTGAAGCAACGTTACTTGTTGAGGGTAAGCGTGAAGCAACATTACCATTTTGTCTTTCCTGTGATTAAAAGGGATAGCGTTCCAGGGTATGTGTTGTCTTCCCCCCGTGGTGGGAAATGCATTTGGGAGTCATGTCCTCATAGAATTTGCCCATCATACCTAGGAGTACCCAACATATTCTGTGTGTGAGTGATTAATCAAAACATGCGAAATGGCTGAACAAATTTATTTGTTACTTAACAAACAGAAACAAGAGTGCTAAGTATCCTACCTAATCGCTCTTCTACATTTTGCCATGTTAAAAAAAAAATCAAGAATGGATAACACTTATAGAGTGTTTACTATGTGCCTCAAACTGGTCTAGCCCCTTTACATATATTAATGTGCATACACTTTGCAGCCAGCTCATTTTTATCTCTATTTTGTGGATGAAGAAACTGAGACGCAGAGAGGTTAAGGTTAAAAATGCATAATGAGTAAATGGCAAAGATATATTTGGGTGCTGGAAGTCTAACTCCAGAGTCTATGTGTTTCAGCCTCTCCATGTACTTTGTCTCAGTGATAATTGCAGAAACTGTAGTATTGGGCTACCTTGTATTGATCCCCTGCTGTAAAAACAAAAACACTAAGTAGCGTTTATCGAAAGCCCTGTGTGCCAGGTGCTGAGCTAAGGCCATTGCATGAATAATAAGTTGGAGGATGGTAGGGGTGGGGCCACTGCGGTTGGCCAGGAAGTATCGATGTTATTCCAGACTAGGGAGGGGTGATTAGGGGAGGTGACCAGATTCAAAACATATTAGGAATATTTTAGGATCTGTGTGTATAGGACCTAGCAATTGATCAAGCATGGGATGTGAGCAGAGAATGATGTTCCCGTTGTGTAAGCAAAACAATACTTGATCCCTGGGGAGGAGGAATCTCTGAAAAGGCTCCTACTCTGGCAACTGTGGGTGGTAAATCAGTTTCATTTCTTCTGCCAAATCTGTGGAATAAAAGCAGCTACAGGGTAGAGAGCTGGCTTTTTATCCAATGCCATGTTCCATAGTATCTAGAACAGTGCCTTGCACCTTTGAGGCCCTGGATTGATAGTTGATGAACAAATAATTGGAAGTGGCTGCCGCAAGAATTGAGACTGCATCTGGACTCACAGGATGGGAATCTGTCAACATTGGCTGTGGGTGTGGAGAGGAGACATAGAGAGCATATCCTGTTTATCTGGAATCCCACGGGGAAATTTATTTACTCTTTTGTTCATTCATTTATTCAATCACTTACTTATTCAGCAAACATTTATTGAGCACCTACTATGTGTCAGGTCCCTGAGCAGAACTCTAGGGATACGGCATTTAAAGCAACAGACGTTGTCTGTGCCCTGATGGCAGCAGAGGACCTTGACTCAATATTTTATCAGATCCAAGGGGAGCTTACAAGCCCAAATCCTGGACTACCATGAGGTCAATTGATCCTATTAGTGCCTAGAAGCAACAAAGGACCTTTCTGGAAGAAGTAGTGCTCACAGCTTCCAGGAGCAAAGGTCCTGAACTTTTATGACCCACTTCCCTTTGTTCCCTTCACCAAAGTATGTTGACTTACATGCAAAACACAACAGCGTCCACAAGCAAGGGCTAGGAGCCTCATTTGATGTCTTCAACTTGTTCTACTGTTCACTGGGTCATGTTGCCAAAGCTCAGACTGAGTCAGCTTGTCCAGCTGTAGAACGGGTTCATATGTGCTCATTAGAGAGCCTTGGGGTACTTTGGCATGGGTATCTCAGGGGCCCTGGAAACTGGTAATGATCATAATAACCTGTGATACTTGTACAACTCTCTAGTCTTTTCAAAGAAAGCAGCCACATCTAAGTTACTCCACAACATCTTGGGGGCAGAAAAAGTAGGGTTATTATCCCAATTTTATGGCTCCAGAGACACAGACAGGTTCAGCGACATGCCCAGGTCCACAAAAAGAAAACTGTGATAAGGTTGATGTTGAAGGGACTTGGAAAAATGAATGAAAGAGAGTGAAATAGCAACACAAACACGTGTGCATGTGTGTGTGTGTGTGTGTGTGTATGTGTGTGTGTTTCACTCCCTACAAACCTCATGGCATGTTCATGGCTGTGAATAACTACTTTTTTCCCCTCCCTCCCTCCTTCCCTGCCTTCCTTTATTCCTTTCCTTTTTTTTTATTTTTGTAGTATTTATTTACCTCAGTGACTAATATGTTAACTTCTCCCTTTAACTAATATGTTAAATTCTCCAGCTCAGTGGAAATTTTATTCCTCACTGAAAGCTAGAGGCAGCACTGTATGCTCTAGGGCAGGGGTCCCCAGCCCTCAGGCTGTGGACTGGTACTGGTCTGTGGCCTCTTAGGAACTGAAACACACAGCAGGAGGTGAGCAACAGATGAGTGAGCATAACCACCTGAGCTCCGCCTCCTGTTAGATCAACAGCATCATCAGATTCATATAGGAGCGTGAACCCTAGTGTGAACTGTGCATGCGAGGGATCTAGGTTGCACGCTCCTTTTGAGAATGTAACTAATGCCTGATGATATGAGGTGGAACAGTTTATCCCAAAACCACCCCCACCCCAACCCCCAATCCATGGAAAAATTGTCTTCCATGAAACCATTCCTGATGCTGAAAAAGTTGGGGACCACTTACTGCCGTAAGGGAAAGCTACACCCAGGGACAGTTGGAACAGAGTGGAATATGATGCAGAACACGCATGAATTCAGGGGTGCAGGAGCCAAGCAGAGCTACAACGTCTGTCTCCAGTGGCAAATGAGAGGGAGATCCCAAGAGTGCATGGTGGATAAGAGACAGGAGAAGCCATCCCCCTCAGGAACTCAGCTTCCCGAGCTCAGCTTGCAGTGCAGAGTTTTACGTGCTCAGGTTGAGGAAGTGCTTGCTTTTCCTCTCCCGCTTGCCAAAGTTCTGTGTTAGGGGTTTCCAGACTTTAGTGTGCCTAGGAACCACTCAGGGAGATCATTAAAAATGCATACTCTGGGGCCCTGCCCCCAGAAATTTGAATTAAGTAGGTTGGGGGCAGGGCCCAGGAACCTGAATTTTCACAAGCAGCTAGCGTACATACCTCACTTAAAGAATGATCACAATATGCTGACATGACACATCTCGGCTGTGATAGAAAGGTAGAGGTTAAAAAAACAGGAAACTGAGGTCTCAAGCAGAACTGTCCTTGTCATTGGGAGCGTCACTGAGGATGAATATACCCTCTTTCCCTTCCCTTGAGTTTGAATGTCTGCTTCCTATCAGTTGGTGGGAACTGAGGAGGCCAAGCCAAGGAGGTTTTTTTTGTTTGTTTTTAAATTTGTGGCAATGTTTTCCAACTTGAAGTAGAGTTTGGGGAAAGATGGGGGAGTAGAAAACAGGATTGGTGAGAGAAGATGGTATGAGAGACCAAGAGGAAGAGGGAGACAGTATTTATTGGCCACCTACCGAGTGTGAAGTGTGTTATGCATATTGACTTCAATATCTAATATGTACAGCTCCTTAGGATGGCTGGAATAGGCTTTGAAGGCAGGCAGGTTTGTGTCCTAATCTTGACTCTGTCACATATAGCCTGTGTGATCTTGAACAACTGACTTCACCGTTCTGAACCTTGGTTTCAACATCTGAAAAATGGGAAGGGTTATAGCATCTACCTTATAGGACTGTTGTAAGAATCAGTTATCCCCACCCATAAAAAATGTATTTATTGAGTAACTTCAGGCATAGATAGAGACACCAGAGATACACCAGTAGGCAACTCAGGGAGAAACCTTACCCTCGCAGGACACATATTCTAGTGGATATGCACAAAATTCTTGGCATGAGCCATGAGTGGACATCATTATCACCAAGGACACTGAAGCTTGGGAAGCTCAAGTCACTTACTCCCAGTCCCACAGTTGGTTAGAGGCCAAGCAGGGATTTGATTTTTGGCATGTTACATTCTAAAGACCCTGCTCTTCAGATCTCCCTTAGTCAGGGGACAGGAGGGAAAACCCAGTTTTAGAATTCATAGAGAAGAGTAGAACTCTCAAAGTAGAGGAATGAAGATAGGTCTTCTGGAGGGTCTGCTTGGAGAGAGAAGACAAGCCTAGGCTGGTGTGACTCATGGGTCTTGTTGCTCTAACAAAGCTTTTTTTCTCTTCCTTTCCCTGGGAGACTTGGAGTTAATCAAGAAACCCAAACAGGAATGACCCAAGATTGAACTAGTCTGGCAAGGAGTGGTACAAGAAAGAAATCAGCCAAGAGCTGAATCCATTCCAACAAACAAGGGTATTTCTTGGGTATGGGCCAGGGTAGCACCAACTGTGAGAGCTTCTACAGCATAGTCTAGCGGATGCAGGAGAGGAGCGGGAAACTTATTTTTGAACTTGGAGCTCTCAAAGACGAGAAGGAACCTGGCTATTCTTAGCTGTGTCTGGGGGCTTAGCAAAAGCTTTCTTGCTGAATTATAGACAACAAGAGCATTTATTCACTCACTCCCTGTTGCAGCCTGGCTGCTAAGCAGATTCCAGGAGATGTTATCTGGAAGGTGCATCACTGTGTATAAATATTTCAGAGGTCAAGACCCAACACAGAGCTTGAACTTTTCAGGGCCTAGATGTGTTTATCAAGGGATGGATGTTTAGGCTTCGTTTCTGGGTGTTGGGTAATCTTGCAACCACTTTAGAGAGCTGCTAACAGCAAATTCTGGTTGCCTTATGAGGCTCACAATGGAGTCCAGCAAGCATCAAAAAAAAAAAAAAAAAATCTGCTTGCACGGATAGGTTCTGGTTTTGCAGCTTTAGAGCATTTTCGGACAAATGTCCTTAAATCAAAAGGTTAGAAAGTCTAACTGTTCCACGAGGATTTTCTGCAGAAGTGTTTCTAAATTTTTATTATTGTGGAATGAATATTTGGAGAACTTGTTAAAATGTAAATTTTGTTAGGAGGTTCAGGGTGGGACCTGAGACTATATATTTCTAACCAGCTTCCAGGTGCTGTGAATCCTGTTGGTCCTTGAACCAGAATATTTCAGTGGCAAGTTTCTAGGGTCTTTTGACTGGCTTCTTATAGCCACATTGCCTATTATGCTGGCTGGAAAATTCATTTGTATCAGTTAGGAATACATTCAGCTGCAAGTAATGGAACACACAGCTTCAGTGGCTTAAATAGATAAGGAATTTTTAAAAATTAATTATTTTTTAATTGACAAATAAAAATTGAATATATATATAGTATATAACATAAATATGTTTTGATATATATATAAACTGTGAGGTAGCAAAATCAATCTAATTAACATATTCATTACCTTTCATTTTTGTGTGTGAGTGATGAGAGCTGTTTTGTGTAATAAGAACATGTAAAATCTACTCTGTTAGCAGTTTTCAAGATTGCAGTACACTGTTAGTAACTACAGTCACCATGTGTACAATAGATATCCTCAACTTCCTCCTCCTCTCTAACTGAAATTTCGTGTCCTTTGGCAAACATCTCTCTATTTCCTCTCCCCTGCCTCCAGCCCTTGGTAACCACCATTCTACTCTCTGCTTCTATGAGTTTGACTCTTTTTCAGTTTTCATATAAAAGTGAGATCATGCAGAATTTGTCTTTCTGTGTCTGGCTTATTTCACTTAGCAAAATGTCTTCGAGGTTCATCCATGTTGTCACAAATGACAGGATTGCCTCTTTTTAAATGTTTAATAGTATTTTATTGTGTTTATATGATCCCCAAAGCACAGGCAACAGAAGCAAAAATTGACAAATAGGATTACATCAAACTAAAAGGCTTATGTACAGCAAAGGGAACAATGAACAGAGTGGAAAGATGACCTACAGAATAGGAGAAAATATTTTCAAATTGTACTTCTGATAAAGGATTAATACCCAAAATATATAAGAAACTCCTAGAACTCAAGAAAATGAGTAACCTGATTAAGAAACAGGCAAAGGACATGAAAAGACATTTCTCAAAAGAAGACCTACAAATGGCCAACAGGTTTATGTAAACATGCTCAATATCACTGATCATCAGGGAAATGCAAATGAAAACCACAGTGATTTATCACCTCACACCTGTTAGAAAGGCTATTATCAAAAAAAGATCGTGAATGTTGGCCAGGGTGTGGAGAAAAGGGAACTCTTTTACACTGTTGGTGGGAATGTAAATTGGTGCAGCCACTATGGAAAACAGTATGGAGGTTCCTCAAAAAACTAAAAATAGAACCATTTGATCCAGCAATCCCGCTTCTGAATTATATACCCAAAGGAAATAAAATCAGTAAGTCAAAGAGATATTTGCACTCCTATGTTCATTGTATTATTCATATCAGCCAAGACATGGAATCAACCTAAGTGTCCATCAATGGATCAATGGACATGGATGACAGATTTGGAAGCCACCATATACAAAGTCCAGAGGACCATTCCAGTGGCTGACTGTTAGCATCAGTGATCCCAAGATTTTCATTCTTCCTCCCCTCCATGCATCCTCAACATCCTCCATACAATTCCATCCCTGGATGGAATGTTTATGCTTCTTGCAAATTCATATGTTGAAATCCTAATACCCAAGATACTGCTGTTAGGAGATGAGGCTGTTGGGAGGTGCTGGGTCATGAGGGCAGAAGCCTCATGAATGGGATTAGTGTTCTTATTTAAGGGGTCTGAGAGAGATCCCTTGCTTTCCCCTTCGGCCATGTGAGGTTACAGTGAGAATATAGTTGTGTATAAAGATCAGGACCTCATCAGACATGGAATCTGCCAGCACCTTGGTCTTGGATTTCCAGTCTCCAGAACTGTGGGAAATACTTTTTTGTTGTTTGGAAGGCTCTCCATATATGGTATTTTGTTATAGCAGCTCAAGGATGCACACAAATGCAAAAATGCCTGTTGCAGCTTCAAGCCCCATGTCCACATTCCAGTTATGAAGAGCATCCAGAAAGGGGGTTTTTCCCAAGACCCTCAGTTATGTCTTTTTGGTCAACACTGAGTGCTGTGGCTTTCTTGAACTCCACAGAGCCTGGGATCACAAATATTGTAACTGAGTACCTTGCTACTCTGAACAATATTGCAGTTCTGTTAAGTTGAGGAAGAAGGGATGGAGTGGATATTGGGTAGGGAGCTAGTAGTATCTGCCATCCTGTTTCTTAACAATCTACACCTAAAAGCTACCATTGGAAGCAATTGGACACTGCTGAACTTAAAAAAAAACTAAACTACCATTATTAAGAACTTACTATGTGCTAGGCACTGTTTGAAACAGTTTATATGGGTTATTCTATTTGGTCCTTAAAACGCTTTGAGGTAGAGATTCTTAGTATTCTCAATGAAACTTGTTTCAATTTCTCAGATATGTCATGTTACTCTCTACCATGGGGCCTTTTTATGAACTGTCCCTATTATCTATAATGTTCTCCTTGAATCCCCTTTGCCAGTTTGTGTGCTGGTAAATGTTTAATAACTGGCTTTCTAGGTAGGGGTGGGTGGATAATAAAACAAAAACCTCGTCTACAGCACTTGCCAATTTCTGTGGTGGAAATACTCCCACCATGGCCAAGTTTCAAGCTACTAACATGATGTCACTGGACAAAAAGTTGGGATGAGAAGGATCATAAAACCTCATTATATGGCATTTCCCTTATCAGGGAGTGATAAGTTGTGAGAATTTATCGCTTTGTTTTTAATATAGCATTTAAAATTTTATGTTTGTATCATTTAATTCTTAATAAGCACTGTGCTTAATAACCAGCTTGCACAGTTCCTGAACATTGCACTATCACTTCTCACGAGGCGTATGGGCGGGCTTGAGCATACCACAGCTGATGTCCAAATGATGCCTACTCTTCCTTCAGATTCCAATTCCTTCTCTTCCTAGGGAAGCCCTCCATGCAGCTCGCACCATGTGGCCTCACAGACAGAACTCGTCTTCATGGGATTTAGTATTAGGCTGGTGCAATTATAATAGAATTATAACTTTGCATTTATTTGTACGAGTCTTTGAATCCTGTCCCATTGGGCAGGATTCTGTCTTTATTCTTTTTGTTTGTTTGTTTTCTGTTTATTTATTTATTTATTTATTTATTTATTATACTTTAAGTTTTAGGGTACATGTGCACAATGTGCAGGTTAGTTACATATGTATACATGTGCCATGCTGGTGTGCTGCACCCACTAACTCATCATCTAGCATTAGGTATATCTCCCAATGCTATCCCTCCCCTCTCCCCCCACCCCACAACAGTCCCCAGAGTGTGATGTTCCCCTTCCTGTGTCCATGTGTTCTCATTGTTCAATTGCCACCTATGAGTGAGAATATGCGGTGTTTGGTTTTTTGTTCTTGCGATAGTTTACTGAGAATGATGATTTCCAATTTCATCCATGTCCCTACAAAGGACATGAACTCATCATTTTTTATGGCTGCATAGTATTCCGTGGTGTATATGTGCCACATTTTCTTATTCCAGTCTATCATTGTTGGACATTTGGGTTGGTTCCAAGTCTTTGCTATTGTGAATAATGCCGCAATAAACATACGTGTGCATGTGTCTTTATAGCAGCATGATTTATAGTCCTTTGGGTATATACCCAGTAATGGGATGGCTGGGTGAAATGGTATTTCTAGTTCTAGATCCCTGAGGAATCGCCAGACTGACTTCCACAATGGTTGAACTAGTTTACAGTCCCACCAACAGTGTAGAAGTGTTCCTATTTCTCCACATCCTCTCCAGCACCTGTTGTTTCCTGACTTTTGAATGATTGCCATTCTAACTGGTGTGAGATGGTATCTCATTGTGGTTTTGATTTGCATTTCTCTGATGGCCAGTGATGGTGAGCATTTTTTCATGTGTTTTTTGGCTGCATAAATGTCTTCTTTTGAGAAGTGTCTGTTCATGTCCTTCGCCCACTTTTTGATGGGGTTGTTTGTTTTTTTCTTGTAAATTTGTTTGAGTTCATTGTAGATTCTGGATATTAGCCCTTTGTCAGATGAGTAGGTTGCGAAAATTTTCTCCCATTTTGTAGGTTGCCTGTTCACTCTGATGGTAGTTTCTTTTGCTGTGCAGAAGCTCTTTAGTTTAATTAGATCCCATTAGTCAATTTTGTCTTTTGTTGCCATTGCTTTTGGTGTTTTAGACATGAAGTCCTTGCCCATGCCTATGTCCTGAATGGTAATGCCTAGGTTTTCTTCTAGGGTTTTTATGGTTTTAGGTCTAACGTTTAAGTCTTTAATCCATCTTTAATAGATTTTTGTATGAGGTGTAAGGAAGGGATCCAGTTTCAGCTTTCTACATATGGCTAGCCAGTTTTCCCAGCACCATTTATTAAATAGGGAATCCTTTCCCCATTGCTTGTTTTTCTCAGGTTTGTCAAAGATCAGATAGTTGTAGATATGCGGCATTATTTCTGAGGGCTCTGTTCTGATCCATTGATCTATATCTCTGTTTTGGTACCAGTACCATGCTGTTTTGCTTACTGTAGCCTTGTAGTATAGTTTGAAGTCAGGTAGGGTGATGCCTCCAGCTTTGTTCTTTTGGCTTAGGATTGACTTGGCGATGCGGGCTCTTTTTTGGTTCCATATGAACTTTAAAGTAGTTTTTTCCAATTCTGTGAAGAAAGTCATTGGTAGCTTGATGGGGATGGCATTGAATCTATAAATTACCTTGGGCAGTATGGCCATTTTCATGATATTGATTCTTCCTACCCATGAGCATGGAATGTTCTTCCATTTGTTTGTATCCTCTTTTATTTCCTTGAGCAGTGGTTTGTAGTTCTGCTTGAAGAGGTCCTTCACATCCCTTGTAAGTTGGATTCCCAGGTATTTTATTCTCTTTGAAGCAATTGTGAATGGGAGTTCACTCATGATTTGGCTCTCTGTTTGTCTGTTATTGGTGTATAAGAATGCTTGTGATTTTTGTACATTGATTTTGTATCCTGAGACTTTGCTGAAGTTGCTTATCAGCTTAAGGAGATTTTGGGCTGAGACAATGGGGTTTTCTAGATATACAATCATGTCGTCTGCAAACAGGGACAATTTGACTTCCTCTTTTCCTAATTGAATACCCTTTATTTCCTTCTCCTGCCTGACTGCCCTGGCCAGAACTTCCAACACTATGTTGAATAGGAGTGGTGAGACAGGGCATCCCTGTCTTGTGCCAGTTTTCAAAGGGAATGCTTCCAGTTTTTGCCCATTCAGTATGATATTGGCTGTGGGTTTGTCATAGATAGCTCTTATTATTTTGAAATACGTCCCATCAATACCTAATTTATTGAGAGTTTTTAGCATGAAGGGTTGTTGAATTTTGTCAAAGGCCTTTTCTGCATCTATTGAGATAATCATGTGGTTTTTGTCTTTGGTTCTGTTTATATGCTGGATTACATTTATTGATTTGCATATATTGAACAAGCCTTGCATCCCAGGGATGAAGCCCACTTGATCATGGTGGATAAGCTTTTTGATGTGCTGCTGGATTCGGTTTGCCAGTATTTTATTGAGGATTTTTGCATCAATGTTCATCAAGGATATTGGTCTAAAATTCTCTTTTTTGGTTGTGTCTCTGCCCGGCTTTGGTATCAGGATGATGCTGGCCTCATAAAATGAGTTAGGGAGGATTCCCTCTTTTTCTATTGATTGGAATAGTTTCAGAAGGAAT
This sequence comes from Homo sapiens, assembly GCF_000001405.40. NCBI lineage: Eukaryota > Metazoa > Chordata > Mammalia > Primates > Hominidae > Homo > Homo sapiens. The sequence continues at coordinate 115,288,575 of NC_000012.12, read as the reverse complement.
GGTACCAGTTCCTCCTTGTACCTCTGGTAGAATTCGGCTGTGAATCCATCTGGTCCTGGACTCTTTTTGGTTGGTAAGCTATTGATTATTGCCACAATTTCAGATCCTGTTATTGGTCTATTCAGAGATTCAACTTCTTCCTGGTTTAGTCTTGGAAGAGTGTATATGTCGAGGAATTTATCCATTTCTTCTAGATTTTCTAGTTTATTTGCGTAGAGGTGTTTGTAGTATTCTCTGATAGTAGTTTGTATTTCTGTGGGATCAGTGGTGATATCCCCTTTATCATTTTTTATTGCATCTATTTGATTCTTCTCTCTTTTTTTCTTTATTAGTCTTGCTAGCGGTCTATCAATTTTGTTGATATTTTCAAAAAACCAGCTCCTGGATTCATTAATTTTTTGAAGGCTTTTTTGTGTCTCTATTTCCTTCAGTTCTGCTCTGATTTTAGTTATTTCTTGTCTTCTGCTAGCTTTTGAATGTGTTTGCTCTTGCTTTTCTAGTTCTTTTAATTGTGATGTTAGGGTGTCAATTTTGGATCTTTCCTGCTTTCTCTTGTGGGCATTTAGTGCTATAAATTTCCCTCTACACACTGCTTTGAATGCGTCCCAGAGATTCTGGTATGTTGTGTCTTTGTTCTCGTTGGTTTCAAAGAACATCTTTATTTCTGCCTTCATTTCGTTATGTACCCAGTAGTCATTTAGGAGCAGGTTGTTCAGTTTCCATGTAGTTGAGCGGTTTTGAGTGAGATTCTTAATCCTGAGTTCTAGTTTGATTGCACTGTGGTCTGAGAGATAGTTTGTTATAATTTCTGTTCTTTTACATTTGCTGAGGAGAGCTTTACTTCCAAGTATGTGGTCAATTTTGGAATAGGTGTGGTGTGGTGCTGAAAAAAATGTATATTCTGTTGATTTGGGGTGGAGAGTTCTGTAGATGTCTATTAGGTCCGCTTGGTGCAGAGCTGAGTTCAATTCCTGGGTATCCTTGTTGACTTTCTGTCTCGTTGATCTGTCTAATGTTGACAGTGGGGTGTTAAAGTCTCCCATTATTAATGTGTGGGAGTCTAAGTCTCTTTGTAGGTCACTCAGGACTTGCTTTATGAATCTGGGTGCTCCTGTATTGGGTGCATATATATTTAGGATAGTTAGCTCTTCTTGTTGAATTGATCCCTTTACCATTATGTAATGGCCTTCTTGGTCTCTTTTGATCTTTGTTGGTTTAAAGTCTGTTTTATCAGAGACTAGGATTGCAACCCCTGCCTTTTTTTGTTTTCCATTCGCTTGGTAGATCTTCCTCCATCCTTTTATTTTGAGTCTATGTGTGTCTCTGCACGTGAGATGGGTTTCCTGAATACAGCACACTGATGGGTCTTGACTCTTTATCCAATTTGCCAGTCTGTGTCTTTTAATTGGAGCATTTAGTCCATTTACATTTAAAGTTAATATTGTTATGTGTGAATTTGATCCTGTCATTATGACGTTAGCTGGTTATTTTGCTCGTTAGTTGATGCAGTTTCTTCCTAGTCTCGATGGTCTTTACATTTTGGCATGATTTTGCAGTGGCTGGTACCGGTTGCTCCTTTCCATGTTTAGCGCTTCCTTCAGGAGCTCTTTTAGGGCAGGCCTGGTGGTGACAAAATCTCTCAGCATTTGCTTGTCTGTAAAGTATTTTATTTCTCCTTCACTTATGAAGCTTAGTTTGGCTGGATATGAAATTCTGGATTGAAAATTCTTTTCTTTAAGAATGTTGAATATTGGCCCCCACTCTCTTCTGGCTTGTAGAGTTTCTGCCAAGAGATCCACTGTTAGTCTGATGGGCTTCCCTTTGAGGGTAACCCGACCTTTCTCTCTGGCTGCCCTTAACATTTTTTCCTTCATTTCAACTTTGGTGAATCTGACAATTATGTGTCTTGGAGTTGCTCTTCTCGAGGAGTATCTTTGTGGCATTCTCTGTATTTCCTGAATCTGAATGTTGGCCTGCCTTGCTAGATTGGGGAAGTTCTCCTGGATAATATCCTGCAGAGTGTTTTCCAACTTGGTTCCATTCTCCCCATCACTTTCAGGTACACCAATCAGACATAGATTTGGTCTTTTCACATAGTCCCATATTTCTTGGAGGCTTTGTTCATTTCTTTTTATTCTTTTTTCTCTAAACTTCCCTTCTCGCTTCATTTCATTCATTTCATCTTCCATTGCTGATACCCTTTCTTCCAGTTGATCGCATCGGCTCCTGAGGCTTCTGCATTCTTCACGTAGTTCTCGAGCCTTGGTTTTCAGCTCCATCAGCTCCTTTAGGCACTTGTCTGTATTGGTTATTCTAGTTATACATTCTTCTAAATTTTTTTCAAAGTTTTCGACTTCTTTGCCTTTGATTTGAATGTCCTCCCGTAGCTCGGAGTAATTTGATCATCCGAAGACTTCTCTCAGCTCGTCAAAGTCATTCTCCATCCAGCTTTGTTCCGTTGCTGGTGAGGAACTGCGTTCCTTTGGAGGAGGAGAGGTGCTCTGCTTTTTAGAGTTTCCAGTTTTTCTGCTCTGTTTTTTCCCCATCTTTGTGGTTTTATCTACTTTTGGTCTTTGATGATGGTGATGTACAGATGGGTTTTTGGTGTGGAAGTCCTTTCTGTTTGTTAGTTTTCCTTCTAACAGACAGGACCCTCAGCTGCAGGTCTGTTGGAGTACCCGGCCGTGTGAGGTGTCAGTGTGCACCTGCTAGGGGGTGCCTCCCAGTTAGGCTGCTCGGGGGTCAGGGGTCAGGGACCCACTTGAGGAGGCAGTCTGCCTGTTCTCAGATCTCCAGCTGCGTGCTGGGAGAACCACTGCTCTCTTCAAAGCTGTCAGTCAGGGACATTTAAGTCTGCAGAGGTTACGGCTGTCTTTTTGTTTGTCTGTGCCCTGCCCCCAGAGGTGGAGCCTACAGAGGCAGGCAGGCCTCCTTGAGCTGTGGTGGGCCCCACCCAGTTCGAGCTTCTTGGCTGCTTTGTTTACCTAAGCAAGCCTGGGCAATGGCGGGCGCCCCTCCCCCAGCCTCGCTGCTGCCTTGCAGTTTGATCTCAGATTGCTGTGCTAGCAATCAGAGAGACTCCGTGGGCATAGGACCCTCCGAGCCAGGTGCGGGATACAATCTCCTGGGGTGCCGTTTTTTAAGCCCGTCGGAAAAGCGCAGTATTCGGGTGGGAGTGACCCGATTTTCCAGGTGCCGACTGACACCCCTTTCTTTGACTAGGAAAGGGAACTCCCTGACCCCTTGCGCTTCCCGAGTGAGGCAATGCCTCGCCCCGCTTCGGCTCGCGCATGGTACGCGCACCCACTGACCTGCGCCCACTGTCTGGCACTCCCTAGTGAGATGAACCCGGTACCTCAGATGGAAATGCAGAAATCACCCGTCTTCTGCGTCGCTCACGCTGGGAGCTGTAGACTCGAGCTGTTCCTATTTGGCCATCTTGGCTCCTCCCCCCAAGAAATAGATTTTGCTGTCTTTATTCTTTCCGCATCGTTCTATTCTGGGAAACTTCCAGTGCTGGCACATAGCAGCTGTATAAAAATTATTGTCAACAGAATGAGGGGAAAGAGAGACGCAGGAAGGCAAGAAAAAAAAAAAAGAAAAGAAAAACACATCTGGTCACTCGTGTTACTGAGGTGGGATAAATACTCAGGACTATTCAATTTCAGAGTTGTGCGGATGTGTATGTGCGTGTGTATCTGTATGTGCACTTGTGTGATTGTGTTTGTGCAAGTGTATGTATGTGTATATAGTTGCAGGATTGCAGTTGGAAGTGAAAGTTGGCCTACATATTGAAAGAAAATCAGCTGATTAACTCAATACCATGATAGGGTAACATATAGGCTCTGATTCAATCTTTATGACAATCTTTATGAAAACCTTTGGGACAACCTTTTATAATTTCTCTCTCAAGTTTAAGAAACTAAAAATTTTAACCGTGGCCAGGTGCTGTGGCTCATGCCTGTAATCCCAACACTTTGGGGGAACCAAGGCAGGCGGATCAGCTTGAGCTCAGGAGTTCAAGACTAGTCTAGCCAAAATGGCAAAACGCCATCTCTACAAAGAATACAAAAAATAACAAGGCATAGTGGTGTGTGCTTGTAATTTCAGCTACTCAGGAGGCTGAGGTGGGAGGATTGCTTGAACCTGGAAGGTCAAGGCTGCAGTGGGCCATGATTGTGCCACAGCACTAGAGCCTGAGTGACAGAGCTAGACCCTGTCTCAAGCAAACAAAGAAACTAACTAAAAATTCTGATTGGCTCAAGGCAATCACAGCCAATGCAATCTCTTGGTCTGCGATTTGGTTAATGGGTAGGCATGTGACTCTGCTCTGGCTGGGGAAAAAAAAAACATGAGGGAAGTCTCTTGGGTGCTCATGAGAATGGTGTTCTTCTGTTATAAAGGAGGAGAAAGGATAGTGATGAAGCAACGATACAACACTCAGACTAATGATTAGCTCCCTGGAGGGAGTAGGAAGGGAGAGAGAGATAATTGGAGATGGGCATACAGGAAGATTCCATAGCTTAATTAAGTCTTGTTTCTTTCACTCATCAATGAGTTACAGAAACATTAATTAATTTTATTCTCCTTTAAACCCAATATGGCACATACATTACCTATAAACTACATAGACTTTAAGTCATATATAAGTGTGTGTGTGTGTGTGTGTGTGTGTATATATATATATATCTGGGTATACTTGTTTATATGAAATAATTCAAAATGAAAATATGCAAAAATCCCCAAAGATAGGAAAAATAGTCTATTCTTTACCTGGACATTATTGTGTCTGGAAGAGATGCTGAGAACAGTGGTACATGTCTTACAAGTAGAAGAAGCTGCTAAGCTTGGGTCCATTCTACTCTTTCTTCTCATTCTTTTAACAAATATTCTTTGAGCATCTATGTGGCCAGCATTGGGCTGCATCAAGAATGTAATCGTGAATGATTTGGGGGCTTTTGATGATTTGTTTAGGCCACTGAATGAACTGATGTTGGGGTAGCCTACCTCTGGGTGACCTGTTTTGCCAGCTTTTACACGTCTGTAGATACATACATATACATATATAAACTTTTAATATTAGACATCACTTTGAATCAATTTGGTCTGTTGCCTGTAACTGAAGTCATCCTGACAGATGCAGGCTTTAGCATGTTTTGCTTGCTTGTCTCATGGCTAGGTCCCCTGCATGTCCCTGGTGTCTGGTTGTACATTGGTAAGTTGAAGCTTGGTGCACATAAGCGCATCCCTGTGATTTACAAGGCAAAGGGACAGGGGCTGTGAAACCATTCATAGCAGGCTCCAGAAGATGGCCAAGCAGGAGGGATTGGAGCCAAAGAGGACTCTTTCTGGTCCTTGGAAAGAAGCAAATTGATGAGTTTCAGTTACAAAGAATGGCTTAACATTGCATACGTCATGATTAAAAGAATGCATGATCTCTTTCTTGATTGGATCTAATAAAACCTTTGTCTATTAACTAATAAGTTAAAAAATGACATGCAAAGCCGTTTGAGTTATAAGCCATAAAGCAATAAATAAATGAAATTACGTTTTAGAAAAAAGCCCAGGCTTCAGGCAGAGCCAGTAGGAGGCCCCTGGGAAAGCCTCTCTGAACAGATTTGGGGTTTGGTTACATCTTGTCCCTCATTCTCATGCTTCCTGCTCATGGGTTTCAACTGAAACTTCAGTTTGGCTTCCTTATCCCAGCTCCAGGAAAACCTGCTGACAAACCTGACTTCCCACATTCACCTTTAAGTTCCAGCTGGGGTGGGGCCTGGAGAAACCCCATGTATCATCAGATAGATACTCTGTGATCAGGCCAGGCATGGTGGATCACACCTGTAATCCCAACACTTTGGGAGGCTGAGGCGGGCGGATCACAAGGTCGGGAGTTTGAGACCAGCCTGACCAACATGGTGAAACCCCGTCTCTACTAAAAATACAAAAATTAGCTGGGTGTGGTGGTGCAGTGCGCACTTGTAGTCCCAGCTACTCAGGAGGCTGAGGCAGGAGAATTGCTTGAGCCTGGGAGACGGAGGTTGCAGTGAGCCGAGATCGTGCCACTGCACTCCAGCCTGGGTGACAGAGTGAGACTCTGAAAGAAAGAAAGAGAGAGAGAGAGAAAGGAAGGAAGGAAGGAAAGAAGAAAGGAGAAAAGAAGGAAGAAAGGAAGAAAGGAAAAAAGAAGGAAGAAAGGAAGAAAGAAGGAAGGAAGGAAAGAAAGAAAAAAAAAAAAGACACTGTGATCAGTTTGGTACGTGCATCAGTGAGCATTCACTGCATACGTACTATGTCCCAGGCCTTGCTCTCAGAGCTGGCATACACAATGAATAAGAAATACTCCCTTTCAATAATCATGGCTAAAATTTATTGAGTGCTTACTCTGTGTTAGGCACTATTCTAAGTGCATTACATTTTTACTCCATAAGACATCTATGCAGTAGGTAGAATTTTTAATCCTCATTTTCCAGATGAAAAAAAGCTGAGGTCCAGAGAGATGAAACGATTTCCCAATATCATACAACCAGTACCCAGAGAGCTAGTAAGTAAATTAATATGTTCAAAATGAAACTACTGATCTTTCCTAACGGTATGTCTTGCTTTCAGCCCAACCTGTTCTACCTTCTGCACATAGGCTTCTGAACTTGAGTGCTATTGACATTTGGGTGGGACCCTCCTTTGTGGTGGGGAGCATTCCTGTGTGTTAGAGGATGTTTAATAGTATCCCTGGCCTCTACTCATTAGATACTAGTAGCACCTCTGAGTTTGTGACAATCAAAACTATCTCCAGATATTGCCTAATGTCCCCTGAGCCTCTTTCCTGTGGCTCTCATCAACTTCAGAGTCCTCTGTGACTCTTCTTTCTCTCACACCCCTACTCCCCAGGCATTAGGAAATTCTGTTCTCTTGACCGTCACGCTCTACTCAGAATCTGACAATGGCTCTCCCCTCCAGCCTAATCCAAGACACCTTCATCTCCCCCCTGAATTGTTTCATCAGATTTCTATTGTTCTTGCAGCTTCTATTCCTTTCTCTTACAATTTATTCTCAGCAGAGCAACCAGAGGAATGCTTTTGGAGCATAGTTCAGAGTGTGTCACTCTCAGCTCAAAATGCTGCCGTGGCTCCCCAGTTCCCTTGGAGTAAAAGCAAAGTTCATACAGTGCCCTACAAAGTCCTACCTGATTTGTTTCCCTCTTGTCTAGCTCCTTGGAGAGGTGCCTCTCTTACTTCATTACCCACTATACTCCCTGTCACTCAATCTGCCCCAGGTTACTCTGGTTTTCTTCCCATTTCTCCAAAACACCAGATATATTAGCTCAGGCGGCCATAATAAAACACCATACACTGGGTGTTCTAAACAACAGAAAGGCATTTTCTTCAGTTCTGGAGGCTAGAAGTCCAAGATCAAGATTCCATCAAGATTGGTTTCTTATGAGGGCTCATTTCTTTTTTTGAGATGGACTCTCACTCTGTCCCCAGGTTGGAGTGCAGTGGCGTGATCTCAGCTCACTGCAACCTCAGCCTCCTGGGTTTAAGTGATTTTCCTGCCTCAGCCTCCCAAGTGGCTGGGACTACAGGCCACCACACTTGGCTAATTTTTATATTTTTAGTAGAGACAGGGTTTCACCATGTTGGCCAGTATGGTCTTGATCTCCTGACTGCATGATCCACCCGCCTTGGTCTCCTAAAGTGCTGGGATTACAGGCATGAGCCACCACACCCAGCCATGAGGGCTCATTTTCTGGCTTACAGAAGGCTGCCTTCTTGCTGTATCTTCACATGGTTTTCCTCTGTGCTCAAGTGCTTCTGGTCTCTCTGCCTCTTCTGCCATTATGATGGGGCTCATCCTACTGGACTAGAGCCCCACCCTTATGACCCCATTCTACCTTATTACTTCCATGCAGGTCCTCTCTCCAAATACAGTCACATTAGTGGGTAGGACTTCAACATATGGATTTTATGGGGGCGCAATTCAATTCTTAACATAAGAATACTCCTGCTTTTACACTGGCCATCTCTACCCTGGAATGCTCCTCTACCAGTTATCTGCATGGATAACACCCTCTCTCCTTGCAAGTTCTTACTCAAAATTTCCCTTCTCTGTAAGAACTGACCACCCTCATTAAATTTTTATCTCTTCCCTCACTCACTTCCTTCCACACTCTCAATCTCTCTCCCTGTGCTCCGCATTTTCATTTTTGCACAGCCTGATGTGCGCCTTCTAGTATACTATTGATTTTGCTAATTTATTATGCTTACAGATGACTGTCTCGGTGGTCCACCCTATCATTGGAATGGCAGATTCATTGTCTGTTCTGAATACAAGTGTATCCCACCTGCCAACTAAAGCACCTTGCATAGGATAATGCTTAATAGTCAGTGAGCCAATGGAGACTGGGTAGATCCAGGCTTTGACACTGGACAGTGCAGCTCTAGGATCCATGCTCTTAACATCTAACAATATTGCCTCTCAGGCAAGGGTGGGGAGGAAATAAATTAATAGATAATTCCCAAATAGAATGATTAGTGAACTAATTAATTTATGGGCAAAACGCAAGGTTAGCAGAAAAGACTGTTAATGTCTTTGCCTGCCTGGGGCTTGTGTGTGCATGTGTGTGTGTGCATGGGTCTTGAGGGGCAGGGTATTATTCAAGAAGAGTTCCCAAAAGAAAACCTGTAGACACTTGCTCTTTGAAAATATCAAAAGTAGCTATTTATTACCATTACAGAAGAATACATATTGGCTGTCAAAAAAATCAGAAACTACAGATAATCAAAAATAGATTGCTGTATTCCCATCATGCTTTAATATGTTCATATGCATGGATTTCAGAACTATATTTGTATTTTTGTCCATTAAGATGGAATTATGCTGCAAATGCTAGCTTGCATTCCATTTTTTCCGTCTCTCCCATCTTTTAGAGGCGTTCTTTTTTTTTTTTTTTTTTGAGACGGAGTCTCACTCTGTTACCCAGGCTGGAGTGCAGTGGTGCGATCTTGGCTCACTGCAAGCTCCACCTCCTGGGTTCACGCCATTCTCCTCCCTCAGCCTCCCGAGTAGCTGGGACTACAGGCACCCACCACCATGCCCGGCTGATTTTTTTTTTTTGTACTTTTTTTTTTTAGTGGAGATGGGGTTTTCGCTGTGTTAGCCAGGATGGTCTCAATCTCCTGATCTTGTGATCCTCCCACCTTGGCCTCCCAAAGTGGTGGGATTACAGGTGTGAGCCACCGTGCCCGGCCACTGTGGGCATTCTTGAATAGGTCTTGAGGGATGAAGAGGAGTTCACCCAGCCAGCAGAGTAAGGAAAGGTGTTTCTAGCAGAGGTAGGAGGATGTATGAAGGCACACAGAAAGGAATGAGACAACTTGCCATGCTTCAGTTGCTTCACATGAGCCCACTAGAGTGTAAGGTGTGGGAAAACAGGCAGCCGTGAGGCTGGAGAGAGAGATTGGAGAGAGATCAGGAGGACATTATGCTCTCTCGTAAGAGTGTGGCTTTGTCCCATGAGCAGGCCCACGTTTTTCCAAGTGCGAAACATAAGCCTCCAATGGGATGTGAGAAGACATTAGGAGAAAATGACACAGAATTGCATGAAGAGAAACTTACTGTCTTTATTATGTCTTTGCTTTTCTAATTGAGCAGGGCAGAAAGTCTCTGTTAGTGCTAACATGCCCTTAACACCCCTCCAGCACTTGTACTCTCCCAACTTTAAAAAAGAGGAACATCAGGCTCCAAGCTTTTAATAATCAACTACTTAGAATGTTACAAAATAATTTTGCCCCATTTGTGGTTATTTTTACTATTATTCAATCATTTATTTCATAAATATTGAGCACCTATTAATGTGCTGGGCACGGTTCTAGGTTCTTCTATGTATGGCAACTGAGTGTTTTTCTATTTATGGTGATAGTATAATATGATTATGGTATAATATTTCTTTGGAACATGCTATGGGCTGAATTGGGTGCCCAAATTTATATGATGAAATTGTAATTTCTGGTAGCTCAGAATGTGGCTGTATTTGAAGACAGGGCCTTTAAAGAGGTGTTAAGTTAAAATGAGGTCATTTTGGAGGGCCCTGATCAAATAGGGCTGATGTCCTTATAAGAAGAGGCAACTAGGGCACAGAAAGGTACAGAGGGAAGACAGAGGAAGAAGATGTCGTCTACAAGCCAAGGTGGGAGGCCTCAGAAGGAACCAACCCTGCCCACACCTTGATCTCAGACTTCCAGCCTTCACAACTATGAGAAAAGAAATTTCTGTTGCTTAAGCCCCTTAGTCAGCGCCACTGTGTTAGGACAGCCCTAGGAACTAATACCTTACATAAATCTGTTTATGTTATAAAAGCAAGTACCTTTCAATGAATAATGTTAACTTATTTTATCGGTGGAATGAGGACAAGGCAAAACTTATGAAAATAAAACACAAAAACATGAGCCTGCAGGACAATTCTTGAAGGTGATAATGGAATAACTAGATTCGTAGGTTACCCAAGAGGTGCGGAGAGCCATGGATGAGTCTAACACGAGGGACCCATAACATCCAGTCTAAGGGCACTTGACTGCTCTTTTTTCCAGATGTGGTAAACTGTGCTGTAGCTGAGATATATCCACTGTCCCTGTGTTTGTCGGTGCCTGACCTGCCCAGTGTAATGAGGAATCTGACCCAGAGTCAAATTGGCCTACATGAACCCTCCCCTCCAGCCAGACCTGCCCCATTGCTCTCTGATTCTGTGTCTCATTTAGCCACCTGGCCTTTGCTTCTGCAGAACCTTCTGCATGGCAGTCGATAAGACCTTCACTGCGTGTCTTCAATTCCCACAGTGATAGAATGGACATTATTAAAAATGTGTGTTCCTGTCTTTATGGCATCTTTCCTAAAGAGATTCTTCAGATGGGAGAATTATAACTGTCTGTCCCATTGATACCATGCTTATCACATGGGTTCCTTTGGCCAGTGAAGGATGAGTGACGAGCACCTCTGAGCATGAGCCTTAAGAGCCCCTGAGTGTTCCATCACCATCAGTCTTTCTCCTGGAAAAAGGAACAAGACTGAAAATACCTCAGACAGAGCCTGCTCCTTCAGCCTGGGCCCAGAATCTAGAGTTGAGCTGAAGCTGACCCACAATGGCCATAGTGTATGTGAGGAATATTTTTACATGCCCCTAAGGGATTTTCTTGTTAGCATAGCATAATATAACCGAGGATGACTGATACACCCTGTCATTCTTAATTCTTAATTCTTCTTCTTCTTCCTCTCTTTCTCCTCCTCTTCCTCCCCCTCCCCCTCTCCTTCTCCCCCGTCCTTCTTCTTTTTCTTCTTCCTCCACTTCCTCCCCCTCCCCCCCTCCCCTTTCCCCTCTCCGCCTCCCTCCTCCTCCTCCTCCTTCTCCTTCTTCTTCTTCCTCTTCCTCTTGTTCGTCTCCTACTCCTTCTCCTTCTCTTTCTCTTTCTTCTCTTCCTTCTCCTCCTCATCCTCGTCCTCCTCCTCCTCCTATTATTATAACTGAAGTGATCTTGGACAACCCATTGCATTTTAGGGGGACTCAATTTTCTCATCTGTAAAATGGAGCTTAAAATACCCAGACGTTCCAAGAATGCTGTTATTTAATAAAAAATGCATAAGACAAAGCATTAAGATATTTAGATTCTGGTTCACTCCTCACTCTGTGCAACCTAAGGATGCCCTTTTAAATCCTGTGGACTTCAACTGCCCCATCTATAACATAGAGCTGTTCACACCAGCCTAGCTGATGTCGCAGAACTGTGGTGAGGGTCAAGTGGGAAGGGGAGAATGCAAACACCTCAAAGTGAAAATCATCACATGTAACTATAAATCATCATTTGCACAGACAGTGGAAGTGCTGTTTCCATTTTCTTTTATTTTTTTCTCTGCCTCACTCTTCGTTGAGTATTCTGTTAAAAACAAAACAAAACACACCTCTGTTACCCAAGAGAGCAATATCAAAAAATTAAAACCTGCTCTTAAAAACACTTGACCCCAGCTACAATCACTGCTGGGCTTATGAGGGCTCACCCTGCCCCTTCAGCAGTTATTTCTTAAGCCTGTCTAATGTTTAGGTAGAAGAGCCTGGGGATTGAGAGAGACCATTACAGGTGCTGTTGGCTCTAGGACCCAGAGAGGAGTCCATAGATGCCCAAGTTCAGAGGCAGTGCTTGCAGCAATCTTGTTCTCTAAGTGTCACACCGTTGTAAGGTGTGAGAAATCCTGAGATTTCTCACTGTCAGGAACATAATCAAATGAGACTTGGAAATAAAGGAAACCCTATGCTCAGACATGTATTTTTTTGAGGACTTGGAGACACTGATGGAAAATATATTGCTACCACAGGGAATAACCCTATGGGCTGGCAGACATTGGGCCCTGTGGCCCTGGGGCCCCTCACTGCATAATCCCCCAGATTCTTTAGCAAATGTCTGTTTATTTCCTTAACTAGCACCCCACCACACGCACATATGCACATACACACTGTATGAATTCCACACACCCTAAACTCTGCTACTCCCAAAATAAGAACCAATGTTCATTGGATATTTATCCAATAAAACTTGTGATACTTATACCTGTGAGAATTTAATTAAGACAGTAACTGCAAAGCACTTGGCACAGTGCTTTCAATATATATACTATATACTATATATATATATAATATACTATATATATATACTATATACTATATATATACACGCACACACACACACACACTTTTTATTTCAATAGCTTTTGGGGGAGCAGGTGGTGTTTGGTTACATGGATAAGTTCTTTAGTGGTGATTTCTGAGATGTTGGTGCACCCATCACCCGAGCAGTGGACACTGTACCCAATGTGTAGTCTTTTATCCCTCATCCTCCTCCCACCCTTCTCCCTGAGTTCCCAAAGTCCATTATATCATTATTCTGCCTTTGCATTCTCATAGCTTAGCTCCCACTTATAAGTGAGAACATAGAACATACAATATTTGGTTTCCCATTTCTGAGTTACTTCACTTAGAATAATGGACTCCAATTCCATCCAGGTTGCTGCAAATGCCATTATTTCACTCTGTTTTATGGCTGAATAGTATTCCATGGTGAATATATATCACATTTCTTGGATACTTATATTTTTGCCAGGAACTGTCCCAACAGCTTTGTGTGTGCTGATGTATTTAAGCTTCATTATGCCTCTTGGGGAGCGGGAAGTGTGAATTTTTATTATTAGAGTTATCATGAGAAAACTGAGGCTCAGAGTGGTTAAGGAAGTTGGCTGGGATCACCCAGCCTGTATGTGGGGATGCTGGGATTTGAACCTAGGCAGTGCAACTCATATAGCTATACTTTTTGCCCCACAATTATATAAAGCATGTCCTAGTCCATACCGATAGTGAAATTTCACTACAGTATTTTTTCTTCAAAGCACACCAGAACAACTTTGACTCATTGAACTTTCTGTTCAGCCTAATCCTAGGGACAGAGATTTTTCTCAATGGATCAGGGTAGAGAGATTTTAAACAAGGTGCTCTCTTGTAATCTTGTCATAAGGAATCCAATTCAAGCTATACTACTCACCCGTTATCAAAAAGAGGTGGGAAATATATCACTGCACCTCTACTGTGTGGGAGACCCTTCACGCTCCCACATGGGAATCCTTGGGGAACATGAGATGTGGGGACAGACATCATGTGGCAAATGGGGCTGAATGGGTGTGTTAGATTTTGGGTGTAGACCTTGATGTCACACAGCCCTAGGTTTAGATCCTGATGTTGCTGCTTACTTGATGTGTAGCCTTGGCAATTTACTTTTGGAGCCACGCTTTGTTCATCTGCAAAGAGGGCGGTGGAAATAAAAAGACCTCACTGGGTTGTGAGAATTCAATCAGGTTAGTAACTGCAAAGCACTTAGCGCACAATGCCTGTGTTTTAGTCAGAGTTCAGAACCAATAGGATATGTATACATTATATAGAGAGATTTATTTCAAGCAGTTTAATCACATGATTACGGAGGCTGGCAAGTCCAAAATTTGCAGACTGGAGACCCAGAGAAAAGTCGATGTTACAGTTCGAGTGCAAAGGTTATCTTCTAGCCCAATTCCTTCTTGCTCGGGTGAGGTCAGTCTTTGCTCTTTTCAGGCCTGCAACTGACTGGCTGAGGCCCACTCCCAGTATGTAGGGCAACCTGCCTTACTCAAAGTCTACTAATTTAAACATAGATTTTATCCAAAAAGCACCCTCACAGGTATATCCAGAATAATGTTTGTCCAAATATCTGGGCTTTGGGACCACAGCAAAGTTGACACATAAAACTAACTATTGCAGCCTGGCATGCAATAAATATTGGGTAACAGAGAACTATTTCATAAGTGGAAAGTAGGTTAAGAGAAGTTCCATGGGTGGAATATCAATTAATATCAATACATTTTTCTTATTTATCTTATTGCCTGTTTTCCCCACCACAAACTAGGTTTCATGAAGAATGTGATTTTTACCTGTTTTTCACTACTGATTCCCAACCAATTAGAATAGTGCCTGGCACATAGTAAGCACTCAATAAATAGTTATTGAATGAATGAATGAATGATTGAATGAATGAATGACAAGTGCCCAACTCGTGTCTCTTATATTTTCTTTCATCTCTAGATCTCAAAACACCTTTATCTAGAGAAGAACAAATGTCTTGCCTAGGGCCTCTCATACCATGAAATGCGCTGTGTAGTCCAGGGAAGGTGTGAGCTCGATGGGCTTAATTTGTCTTAGAAATGCTTCAGACTTCTTCATACAGTCTCTTGCAGCAGAAGACCTAGTTTGGAGGTGGGGGTTGAGGAAGTTCATATTCCCCAGATGATGCCCAAGAATGACTTTGAGGGCAAGCTCTGAAAAGCCTCAGCAGTTGTCTGTGGCTTCAGTGTGAGAGATTCCAGAGTTTGCAAACCACAGGAATCTCACTCCTGGGTGGAGGCGAAACTTGTTTGCTAAATTTTCCTTCCCTTTCACACCTGTCTCCTCACCTCTTTCTCCCCAAGGGCCCCTCCAGCCTCAGCTCTGGGGCTGACACCTGCTCCTCTGAGGCTAGGTATTAAGAATGAATGACAGGCTCCCAACTGTGGCCTCAGCTCCCAGCTCTACCCATGCCTCATACCTCAAAGTCTTAGCACAAGTTTCAAGCTGTTTCAGGAGCTCTGGTAGCTTGGACCTTACTGTGAATTGCTCCTAAAACTGATTGTGAGTGTGATAGATGTCGTCACTCACTCAAAAACCTCACATCCCCTTCTTCTGAGCCAATGTAACCAGTTTTGTAATGATCGAAGATTTCTAGATTTGGAGGAAAGGAGAACATTTCCTTAGTCTCAGGGATGAGCATAATAGGCTCATATTATGATTCCTATAATCCTACTCCCATTTTCCAGGGACTGATTGGGAGGTGAACAGTGTCAGCTGATGAAATGAAGGAAGAAGGCTGGTGAAGACATGAGGCTTCCTTTCCAGGTAAAAACCTTATAAGATGGTTGGGTCACTCTTGTCCCTGCTTCCTGCAATTTGGGAATATTATACCTGAAGCTGCTGCAGCTATCTTGTGACCATGAGGTGTAAGTATGATCACGGAAAGCCACTATACTAAGGATGACCAAGTAAAATAAGGAAAGAAGCTGGGCCTTTGATGACATTGTTGAAACACTGAGTCAGCCCAGGAACTGCCTACCACTAGTCTTTTTGTTGAATGAGATAACACACGCTTGAATTAAGATACTGTTAAATGGGAATATTGTCACTTGTAGCCCAAAGCATTGGTAACTGATGCACTTAGCATTTATCCTTACTCACACTGAGCCATGGTCTGTGCTTGGTGTTTATACACATTAGCTCACTCAACCCCCACAACAACCTGTTTATTGTGCTCATTGTACAAATGAGAAAACTAAAAAACTCTTAGAGTCTAAGAAACTTATTGAAGGTGGCATAGCTAATAAATGGCAAAGCTTCAATTCAAATCCAAGGTTAATTCTAACAACCATGTTCTACTTTAATGCTCTTTACTATAGCATGATATTTTTTTTTGGAGGAAAAGGGAATATTGTCTTTGTTCCAGAAAAGAGGGAGAATTATGGTAAAGGGTGTTCCCCCAGACTGATTCTGCTTCAAGACACAGGGCTCCAATATTTAGATGGGAACCTGAGAAAGCAAGGAAAGAATAAATGCCCGGAAGACAAAACCCTGGAAAAGATGCTTAACTGAGAAGGGAGTGTGGTTTTTGTCTGCAATAATCAGAGTCTTCCAGAATTGCAGCCCACACCAGGGGGGTGCATAATAGTTAATGTGTGGCAGTACTTCAGA
Organism: Homo sapiens; assembly: GCF_000001405.40. NCBI lineage: Eukaryota > Metazoa > Chordata > Mammalia > Primates > Hominidae > Homo > Homo sapiens. Next base: position 115,272,242 of record NC_000012.12, on the reverse strand, counting down.
CATAGACTGTCATTGTGGCCTCTTGGACAGTCTAGTATGGTCCCTTCCTCCCTCCCTCCCTTCCTTCCTCTTTCTCTTTTCTTTCTTTCTTTCTTTCTTTCCTTTCTTTCTTTCTTTTTTTGATTGAGACAGGGTATTGCTCTGTCACCCAGGCTGGAGTGCAGTGGCATGATCATGGCTCACTGCAGCCTTGATCTCCCAGGCTCAGGTGATTCTCCCACCTCAGCCCCCTGAGTAGTTGGGGCTACAGATGTGTGCCACCACACCAGGATAATTGTTTGTGTGTTTTGTAGATATGGGGTTTCATCATGTTGCCCAGGCTGGTCTTGAACTCATAGGCTCAGGCAATCCTCTCACCTTGGCCTCCCAAAGTGCTGGGATTACAGGAGTGAGCCACCGTGCCTGACTTGGGATAATTTTCATAACACCCAAGAATGATGCTGAAGCCTGGAAGGATTCAGCAGAGTGGAAAAGGAGGAGCAGGGCCCCAAGTTTCAGGCAGTGGCAACACTTGGGTAAAACACCCAGAAAACATGAGAGGAGGGTATGTCCAAGGGTCTACATCAGGCTGTATAGAGGGAGAGTGCAACAGAGAAAGAGAAAACTGGCTGGCCAGCGCCCCATGAGAGAGGATCCAGGATGGGTAAGTTTGAAGCAGGGGAGTCACAGAGTCAGATTCCAATTTAAGAAAGTGGGTTTGGCTGTGTCTCTACCCAAATCTCATCTTGAATTGTAGCTCCCATAGTTCCCATGTGTTGTGTAAGGACCCCAGTGGGAGATCATTGAATCATGGGGGCGGTTTCCTATATACTATTCTCATGGTAGGGAATAAGTGTCATGAGATCTGATGGTTTTAAAAGGGGAAACCTCTTCCACTCGGTTCTCATTCTGTCTTACCTGTTGCAGAGTAAGATGTGCCTTTTGCCTTCTGCCATGATTGTGAGGCTTCCCCAGCCACGTGGAACTGTGAGTCCATTAAACCTCTTTTTCTTTATATATTACCCAGTCTTGGGTATGTCTTTATCAGCAGCATGAAAACAGACTAATACACTTCCTGAAATGGATTTGGTGATACTTCTCATTGAGGTGTCATGAACTCACATTCTGGGGGTGGAGGGTGGTGAGTGGGGCGATTGCAGGTGGCAGTGGCATAAGAACAAACACAGTGAACTGTATAGACCCAAACAGGAAGATGATGTAAAGTGGGCAGGCAGCCTGGGCAACATAGCAAGACTCGATCTCTAAAAAATAAAAAGAAAAAATCATGTGGGCATGGTGGTGCATGCCTGTAATCCCAGCTACTCGGGAGGTTTAGGTGGAAGGATTGTTTGAGCCCTGGAAGCCAAGGCTGCAGTGACCCAAGATCATGCCACTGCACTCCAGCCTGGGCAACAGAGGGAGACCCTGTCTCAAAAAAAATTGTTTTAAAATAAGTAAAATAAAATGGGCAGTCCCCACCCCCTCTGAAGAAGTCTCCTTTTGTGTAGCAACAACAGATTTTTGCCATCAGTGAATAGAAAGTAAGTGGGGTCACTGGATCATGTGGTCCTTCTATTTATAATTTTTGGAAGAACTTCCAGTCTCTTTTCCATAGTGGCTTCACCCATTTACATGCTTGTCAACAGTGTACAAAGGTTCTCTTTTCTCCATGTCCTCTTCAACACTCATTATGTTTTGTTTTGTTTTGTTTTGTTTTTAAAGTAATAGCAATTGTAACAGGTGCGAGGTGATATCTCATTGTCGTTTTGATTTGTATTTCCCTGATGATTAGTGATGTTGAGCACCTTTTAATATATTTGTTGCCCATTTGTATGCCTTCTTTGGAGAAATATCTATTCAAGTCCTTTGCCCATTTTTAATCAGGTTGTTATTTTTGTTATTGAGTTGTAGAAGTTTCTTATATATTTTGGACATTAAAATAGCTGATATTATGAGATGTATGGTTTTCGAGTATCTTATCCAAATATGTAGGTGTCTTTTCATTCTGTTGATTGTGCTCATTGCTGTGCAGAAGCCTTTCAGTGATGTCTATTTTTGCTTTGGTTTCCTGTGCACAAAAGAATTAAAAACAATCTTGAAAAGATTTTCGCACTCCCACGTTCACTGCAATATTATTCACAATAGCCAGTAAATGGAAACCACCTAAATGTTCATGGATGAGTGAATGGATAAAACCATACATACCATGGAATATTATTCAACCCAAAAAAGAAAGGCAATTCTGACATATGCTACAACATGGATAAACCTTGAAGACATTATGCTAAGTGAAACACGCCACTCACAGGAGGACAAATACTGCATGAATCCACTTATATAAAATATTGAAAATATTAAAAGTTATAGATGCAGAAAGGAAAATGGTGATTGCCAGGGCTTGGAGGAGGAGGAAGAGCAGGAATTGCTGTTCAATGGGTGTAGAATTGCACTCATGCATGATGAAAAAGCTCTAGAGATCTGCTGTACAATGTCAGGCTTATAGTTAACAATATTTTACACTTAGAAATTGTTACAAGGATAGATTTCATGTTGTGTGTGTTTCACTGCAATAAAAAATAAGAAAGACAATGGAAAGCAAGAATTTTTACTCTTTCCATGGAAGCCATAACTGGAAATTTTCAAGTGCAACATCCCAGTTTTCTCGATTCTAGTGTAAGTAATTCACATGATTTAAACTGTTTGGAAGATGCTGTCAGTGCCCTTCCCATATCTCTTACACCAGAGACCAGCACACTTTTTCTGTAAAGAGGAAGATAGTAAATACTCTCAGCATTGCAGGCCATACATTCTCTGTCACAACTACCCAACTCAGCCATTGCAGTGCAAAGACAGTGCATAAACAAATAGGCATGGCTGTGTTCCTATAAAGCTTTATTTACAAGAACAGGCAGCAAGCTGTTTTTGGCCAGTGAACAAATCCCTGCTTAGATCATCTTAGATTAATTTGAAAACCTGTATCTCTCTTCTGACATTTTTCTGGCCAAGGAGCATGGTTGGCCATGCTCAGGGAAACCTGGAGGTGCTAGAAAGCCAATACCCCTGGAAACAGCCCTGAAGCCCCTCTGTTGGTAGAGCTGATGCATGCTCTACCCAGTCTCCCAGAGTTTCCCAGTGAGACTGAACTCCAGCTGCCCACAGCTGTAACCTGCTCAATATCACACCCTTGATAGGCCACTTACCTTCCTTGCCTCCCTTCAAATCTCCCCTACCAATATTTCCTGAGATTAGTTCCCAACCTTCTTGCATTTGTGCCAAGTTCTGGTTCCAGGGAAACCCAGCCTAAGATCTGGGTGTTTGATCTAACCATAGCTGTGGGGCAATTTTGATCCTCATATCATTCATTCACTCAGTCACTTATTCATTCATCAATTCAAATATCTTTCTTGAGGGCCAAAAATGCAGAGGTAAACACGTCTAAATGTCAACCCACAAGGAACTTAACCAAGTGAGGGGAGAGACTCACAAAAAGAAGTCCAGTGAAGGCACCATGAAGCTCCATGGAAGGCAGAGTGGGTGACCATCTGCAGCAGGGATTAACAAAGTATGGCCCATGGGCCAACTCCAGCCTCCTGCCTGATTCTGTAAATAAAGATTTACTGGCACACAGCCACATGCATCATCTACTTAAATATTGTCTGTGGCTGCTTTTCCATTATAGCAGCACAGAAGTGCTCTAGAGTAGTTGGGTCAGAGACTGTACGGCTGGTAAAGCCAAAAATACTTACTATCCTGCCCTTTACAGAAAACGTGTGCCAATCCGCAGTCTATATGACTAGGACAAAAGGAGATGGGAGCTATGCTAGTGTATAATGGTTATGAGCTCTGGATTCAAACCACTTAAGTTCAAGTCCTGATTCTGTCTTAATAAATATGTGACTTACAGGCAGTTACTTAACCTCGCTGAGCCTCAATGTTGCCTGTCTGCAGAAAGAAGGCCTCATGACAATAGCCTCTCCCTCGCAGGGCTCTTGTGAGCACTCAAGGAAACTCTGCATGTAAAGAATTCAGCATGGCGGCTGGCACCTAGCAGGTGCTGGGGGCACTCAGCTCCATCACTGTGTGAAGGCATCTTCAAGAGTCCCTGGTTGGACATAACTTTGGAATGCAGCTGCTGAGCTGCACACTGCATATAACTGAGCACATTCCTCTGATTCCAGCTCACTTCTGGGACCCAAGCCTCTTGGACTGCCTACCAATGAGAACTGGCATGGGAAAAGGACACATTCCATCAAATTATCCTTTTTTGCACATCTCAGACCTTTGGTCTTCTAAGGGAATTCCCAGCTTCCGGGAGGTGGTGGGTTGCAGCTATGGGGATGGAAACAGTTACTCTGAGGCCAGACATGGCCTTCGCCTGCTGAGCAGAGAGAGGGGCTGTACTCCAGAAGAGCCACCCAAGTTGCTGACCGCTCTGTTCTCCTGTGTCCCCCAACCATCTGTGCAGCAGAGGGCTGCTAATTGGGGTGCTCTGGCCCCAGACATCACAGATGATGCAATCCAGGGAGTTATCCATGGGAGTTGCTGGCATTCAGTCTCAGGGAAGCCGTCAGGCAGAAGCTGTTCCCAAGGGTCTGCCTAACACATCTCTCAGCCAGGATGTGTCATGGGGGCTGAAGCTGGGGCCCTGGTGCCTTCCGGCCTGACATTACTATTTCTAGCAGATGACAAGGGTCTGGCTTCCAGAGAAACTGGAAGGCCACTGGTTGGAATCCCTAAGTTATTTAGAAATGAGAACTGAGTCTTCTCAGCATAATGGCTCAGATGAATGATGCTACCAAGCGGCGTTCTGAGACTGACCCCAAAGACAATGAATCGTGTACCTACTCTGCAACATTTACTTTGCAATGTGAGGGACCTTCCCCAGACATCCTCAACTCTACTGGAAAACACCTAGATTTCCATTTTGTTGGTTTCCCTTTAGCCTCAAGGCCTTTGCATTTGCTGTTCCATCTTCCAGGAATGCTCTTTCCTACAGATATCAACAGCCACCCTCCCACCTCCTCCAGGTTGCTGCTCAAATGCCATCTTATCAGAAAGACCTTTTCTGACCATTCATTTAAGTCATACTTTCATATAACTCTCCATCACCTTTTACTCTACCCTGCGCAGCTTTTCTTCGTAGAACAAATCACTACTTGATATGTTGAATATTCATACCTTAATGTTTTTTCTATCTGTGGTCTCATTTCTCAAACCCGCCCCTGATGAAGTTCAATGGAACCAGAGACCTTGTCTGTCATATTTACTTCTGTGTCACTGGTTTCTAGGCCAGTGCCTGGCACACGGTAGGGGAATAAATAAATATTTTTTGAGAGGATGTCTGCATCGAGCTGGTAGTAATCTTTCACTCAAATATTTCTTACTCTTTGATCTGGCACTAAGTCACATCAATGCTACCTAAAAATCCGCGTGGGCATTGCTATTGACACCAATAATTATACTGTTGCAAAATGGATTTTATGTGAATAATAATGACTGTGGTAGCCATTGTTATGTTACGCTCTATAAAGCACAAGATTAAGATTAAGGTTAAGATTAAGATACAGCACTATGAGATAGGATGTATTACTATCCCCACTTTAGCGATTTAAAACCTGGAATCCTGAGAAGAAAAGTTGCTTGCCTGGGGCTATCCAGATCCTAAATGGCTGAGCTGTGGTTCAAACTCAGATACAGTGACAGTGAAAAGTCAGAAAGCATTGCTCAAATGCAAGTTACCCCTTCTGCCTCTCATCTGAAAATGCATCACTCTTGAAAGATTGGTCTTTGGGCAACTATAAACATTCAATTTCAGTATCCCATGCACCATGGGCCTGCAATAGGGCAGGCATTGCCCTGGGTACTGACCTAGTCCTTGCTATTCTAATATTTTTTGTTTGTTTTTTGAGACAGAGTCTCGCTTTCTCACCGAAGTTGGAGTGCAGTGGCACAATCTCAGCTCACTGCAACCTCTGCCTCCTGGGTTCAAGCGATTCTCATACCTCAGCCTCCCAAGTAGCTGGAATCACAGGCGCGCACCACCACACCAGGCTAATGTTTGTATTTTTAGTAGAGACGGGGTTTCACCATGTTGGTCAGGCTGGTCTTGAACTCCTGACCTCAAGTGATCCGGTCCCCTCGGCCCCCCAAAGTGCTGGCATTACAGGTGTGAGCCACTGCACCCAGCCTATTCTAATATTTTAATGCACGTGAAGCATATACTGCCCAAGCCTTGCTGAACACCCCTGTGTGCCAGCCCAGTGCTAAACTGTTTACATATATTTTTCACATTGATCTTCACAACAGACCTGTAAAATAGATATTGTGTCCTCCCATTTTCCACAAAAACTACCGAGGCTGCAGGACATTTCAAATCTCGGTTGCCCAGAGACACTCAGTCCACGCGGGGCCAATCATGTCATTGTCTGTCTCAAAGTGGGAAATTGGGGGAAAGTTTTCATTTTCCATTTACAATCAGGACAAACAAACAAAAAAGCAACTCATGAAGGATAATGAATGGAGGTTGAGTAAAGCATAGGTTTCCAATGCCCCAACGTCTTGCAATAACCAAATCGTCTTTTCTTTGTTTTCTCCTCCTTTGTCCTTTTGTGTTAGACATCTGGGTTTATGGTTTAATTAGAAAAATGGTTGCATTCAGCCAGTATCAAGGAGGAGGCCTTCTAACTTCTGGAAGCACTAGAGCCTCAGATGGTTGCGATTAGGTGGAAGGAGAGGTATAGAGACTTTTGGGTGCAACTCTTAACCATTTAGCTCCTTCAAGAAAAGTTGGCATATCACATCCACTACAGATGGCTCTTTAGCTCAAAAATGGCTTAATGAACTCCAGCAACCTATTCCCAGTATGCCCCTGCCCTCTTCCCACAAAATAAATTCCTCTTCATTCATTGCATTTGGGACACATCCATGCTCATCTTCTTTCTGCAAGGACATGGTTGGACCAGAGTCTAGGCTGCTCATCTGTGTGTATTTAGGCTTCATCTTCTCCTGGAAGAGGCATCAATGATTTTCAAGTGGAAAAAGCTTGGTGATAATTTCCAAGAGGAGGATCTTTTGAGGGAATGAATAGTGCAATATCTTCTTCAGTGGCTTCTTTTTATTGAGCTAGGAGAGCTCTCAGAGAGGGCTCATGCCATCTACCCATTGGTCATGCTCTAGCTTGAGACCTTCTTTAATTATTTACAGAACATCGGATTTCTCTCCCCAGTTATGCTTGAGTTACTTAAAGGTGGAGACTGCATCTGACTTGATTCTAGATGCCCTGAAACTCCCCTTGAATTCATGTGTTCTATGAATATAATTTGACAGGTTGGCTGGCTAAGGTGAACTATCGTTTTCATCACAGGAAATAAGTAGCCTCCAAAATAATGATAGTTATCTTGCAAATGCTGGTTTTGTGCCAGGCATTACGCTGAATATTTTATAAGCATGTTAGTCTATGACATCATCTCTTACCTCAATGACTCCAGTAACCTTGCAACCGTTGATCTTCATAGACTCCAGTTTTCGGACAGTCCATTCAATCGTAGAGCAGCCAGGTGATGTTTTAAAATTATAATTCTCATCATGCTACCACCCTGTGCAAAACCCTCCGGTAGGTACCCATAGAGTTGAATCCAAAAGTCTTGCTGTGATCTGTTTCTGCCTGTTCTGACATCATGCCACACTCTTGTTCTCTCTCACTGCAATTCATCCTCTCTTGTTTTTGCTTTTTATCTATGCCTTTTACATCCCAGGCTTGTTCTCACCTCACAGCCATTGTGTTGCTGATCCTTCTGCCTGGAACACTTTCTTCTCATTGTTCCAGACCATCCCATATGGGTTTTAGCTTAAATATCTTATCGTCAGAGCAGCCACTTGTGCAGCTTACTTGCCACTAAATCCCCAACGCCTAGCACTTTCCTGATACTCATTAGATATTTGTTATTCAATTCATTCCTCCCTTAGATGTTAGTTTTAAACTTGCAAATAATTATCTATTTTCATCCACTAGATATGCGCTGTCCAATACGGTAGCTATCAGCAAAATGTGGATATTTAAATATAACTAAAATTCATTAAAATCAAATAAAATTTTAAAATCCAGCTCCTCAGTTGCATAGCCATATTTCAGTAGCCCCTAGTATCTTGTGGCTGTATTCAGTAGCCCCTTGTATCTTCAGTAGCCAATAGCCACAAGATGCTAGGGGCCACCATATTAAGCAGTACTGATGTAGATCATTTCCATCATCATAAGAACTTCTTTTGGGTAGTTCTGCACTAGAACATAAGCACCCTGAGGGCCGGTAACTTGGTCCAACTTATTTACCATGGAATCCTCAATGCTTACCTCTTAGTTGGTACTTAATAAGTATTTTAATATATGTATTAACAATGTAAATGTTGGTTTACAATGTACCAATTATAAACCATTCATCAATAATTATAATGTAACAATAATAATAAGCATTTATTGAGGATTTACCACATGAACTCCTTGTGCTAACCTCTTTCCATGGATTATCTACTGATCCTTTAACTGAATGAGATCCTGGCTGTTACTATCCCACCCTTCATTACCAACACCACACAGGAGAGAACAGACTTTCTCTTCTGGGAAGTGGGAGTCATAGAAAGAAGCCAGGCCTTCCAGAATCTTCACTGGGGGGTTGTTTTCCCCATGCAGATAACCTCAGGCTGCCCTGCAAAATGGCCTCACCACTGGCTCTATCTTCATTCCAAGGAGAGGTGGTTATTTCCCTCACACAGACAGGAGAACAGGGTGGGATACATAGCCTCACCTCCTCTCCCATGTCTCCTTGCATGCCTGAAACAATTACATCAATCGGTGTGGACCTGCAGTGCTCAGGCAAACTGCACTGTTTGGATTCTTGTGCTCCATTTTCTGAAAATGGGTTGCATTTTTTTTTATGTCAGATGTTTACCTTGCTCTATTTCCTGCTGGTGAATAGTTGAGGGGTTCTTGCTGAGATGTGAATGGTCCCCACTGTAGCATAGCATCTAAATTTGTAAGTTGCACCAGACAAAGTGGACCTCTTTGAATTCAGGATATACAGGGACCTAACAAGTTTGGTTTGAAGTGATGACATAACACACTATGATTCAGAACATCTGGATTCTAGAACCACCACTTCCACCATTCAGCTTGGTGAGCCCATGAAACACGCACATTCTTACCTGGTTAAATAGTGGGAGCTGGAAACACCAGCCCTGGAATCAAATGGTGGGTTAAATTCTTAGCTCTACCACTTATCAGCACTGTGTTCTTGGAGACATTACCCCTCTGAGCCTCAGTTTTCTCTGCTGTAAATTGGGGATCATGGCAGGACCACTTCAATAGGTTTTTGTGATGATTTAACATTTATAAGGCATTCATTATTTTTCTTATTTTAAATCACTTATCTCAAAAATAAATGAATCTACACAAGGATAGACACATATGTTGTGCATATAATTTTTTCTGGATTCAGAGATGAACAGTGATGATGATGATGATGATGATGATATCTATGTCCCTACAATGTGCCAGACCCTAAACAAACTGCTATGTAATAATTATTTCATTCATTCATCACTGCAACCCCCTGAGGTCAGTATTTCTTTGTTTCTATTGTAGGAAAATAAAACTTTAAGGTTAAATTACTCCTGTAAGGTCACTCAGCAAGAAAGTAAAAGAGCTGAGACTTGAACCAGGTCTTGTCTGGGACTAACACCACTAAGTGCAACCTCTCTGGGCCAGTTTTTTCTTCTGTAAACTCAGGATCATAGTTGCCATTTTAGAGGGCTGATGAGAGGATGATTTCATCAGTACTGCAAAGTGCTTAGCATAGAATACCTGGTAGAATTTTCTCTTTGGAGATGGTAAAGGGAAGAAAAGAGAGAAGCCTAGAAAGAGCAAACAGAAGAAGAGGTGGCAATAGAAGCGGCCTGGAGACATGAACTAATTAAGGGCTTCATCACCAGCTCAATGATGTGTCAAGATGACAGTCAGTCAAGCAGATAAGGGACGATGAGTTAACATCTCCTGGGGGAAGCCCAGGCCTGAGATTGGCTGGCAGACAAGAGCACAACAGTGAAAAGGAAGCTGCCAGAAGGTTATTTACATGAAATTACAGTGAAGGATTTGAACTATGCCACCCTGGTGGCTTTAACTGTCTCTTGGTAAAGGCAAAGTCCAGTAGCCCTTGGAATGAATCCAAGGGCTGTATGAGCTAATGCAAGTACAGTGGGAATGGATATTTGGGACCATAAAAGACAGTATAAAAAGACTCACAACCAAGTCCTTGGAATCCCAGCTCTTACACATTTTGTCTAAGGGCAAGCTCAAGTGTAGTGCAACTTTCAGGCATGGCTGTATCCAGATGCCCAACACGATGCCATCAGGAATATTTATCTCACTGTCTCTGCTTTTAAGCTCTACCTCTTCTACACTGACTGTGTCCTAAGGCAAGTTCTTGCCCTGTGGTGTAAATATAATTCTGTTTCTTAGGCTGGGTTCCCTCAGACATAGACTCTGAGACAAGGATTCCAGTGCAAGTGATTTATCAGGCAAGTGACTCTAGAAAACTCTAGTACCGAAGTGAGAAGGGAAGGGAAGAAAGATGCATTAATAAGAAGGTTACCACTGTGGACATTTGATGCTCAATCCCACTTCCATGTATGAAAAAATACGGTCCACACCCTGCTGAGACCTCTGGGGCACAGTTGAATGCATATCTCATTCCAGAAATGAGTGAGCTGTGCTGTTGACTTTCTGACTTCCATCCACCACTGGCTGGGGGCTGCTCCCAGGAGCATTAGCTTCACAGCACTTCTGTGTGCCCTAGGCAAGCGCTCAGAGCATTACAGTCTTTCATGCTCAAAGGAGAAGGTGTTAGCATACTTGGAAACAGTCAGCACCAGAGGAATATAATGAGGCACAGTGACATCTACTTCTCCCCCACTTTCCCTCTATCTGCAGGAAAAGTTCTAGGTCTGAATCTCATTAAGCTGACTTGGGTCATACGCCCTTCCTTGAATCAAGCACTATAGCCAGGGGTGTGAATGATGCCAATTAGCCATACTCAAGAGAAGAGAGTCAACCTTGGCCCAACTGCACGGACCAAGAGTGGGGTGGGGTGGTACCCCAGCAAAAAATGAGGTGCCATGACCAAAGAAATCTGAGTAAATTCTATTCCAACAAAAACAACAGAAAAATATTGACTCATCATTCAACAAGTGACGACTAACTTTGTCACATTCCACCTCCTAATTTAGATGAATATCTTTCCTTTTGGAAGAGCAGGACCATTTCTGGCCCCAGAGCAGCAGTCCCACAGGGGACAGATACAAAAGTGAGTGTGGTTAGTCACTTTTAATTGCTCAAATTATCCTGAAATACACACACACACACACACACACACACGTATATATTTTTTTAACAGAGGCTTTGAAGACTTGTTGCAAATGTTTACATTTAGCCTAATGGAGCTAAGTCTCATTAATGACTGTGATACTGTTTGAGTTGGCCCTGGGTTTTGCAGAGTGGGCAATAAGCACAATTCCTATGCCCATGTGGCACTGTTCAGTGAGGGGATCTCAGTAAAGGAAGCTCCGACTCCTATTTTTCTCTTTGTAATTTGGCATGTGACATCTGGGGCTATTTCCTCATAGGGCCCTTTTGCAGTAATGTAGTTTAAGTACTTTGGAAAGGTGCCTAAGTAATGGCTATTATGTAATTTTCTTTTAAAGGTAGAGGAAATGACAATCAAAGAATCAAGGGGAGGGCTGAGGATCTGTGTCTGTCCCTCTCCAATGTGAAAATGTCAGAGGGCCCCCTTCACCCAGGGTAATTGCAAAGCAAACAGAGCTCAGGGTTCTTACAAAGCCAGGACTGCTATGGAGAAAAAGCAAGGTCAGCCAAGAGGGGCTGGTTCTTTCACCTGCATATTGTCTCTGAAACACCAAAGAAATGGAAAAAATTAACCCCCAACAAGCTGAATATGTTACCTGTAGCAAGTAACTTTGGTGGGAAAAAAGGCTGAAAGCAAAATGGTGTTATTAATAATTGACTAGAAGCTTGGCGCTACTGGCTTCTATTTGCTCATCCGTACAATGGGCACAACACACTTCTTAGGGCTACTATGAGAGTTAAGTTAGATAGCACTTACAATGTGCTATATGCACTGCAGCAGGGATTGCCAGCTGTTTGCTGAGAGCAATTTTCTTCTTTTTCCATAGCACTGCACTATGAGTTTTACCTAAGCACGCAGCTTCCCAGAATAGATGTCACATTTCCCAGCCTCTTCTGCTGTTAGAAGTGGGCTTATGGACTAAATTCTGGCCACTGGGATATAAGAGGCAGTGCCCTGGGGCAGCATCCAGGACCCATCCTTAAGAGATCACTGATGTGTGGCCTTTGCTCTCTCTCTGCTCCTTGCTTCGTCTTGCTACCTGAAACATAGATGCTTCCATCTTGAATCTTGAGACAGATCTACGAATGAGGGATGTGCGTGGAGGAACAAAAGGACAGAAGAATCCTAGGCCCTGGACATCACAGTGCTCCCCACTCATTCTTTCCTTTCCAAGTCACTGTTAACTGCGGATCAGCAGCCAAACCCTGTCCTGGTTCTTTTGCACGGAATTTGGCATAGTTCACAAATCTAGGTTTTATAGAAGGCTCTCAAATTTAGCTCACACTAAAATTGAGCATTTTTATCCCATCTCTTACTAGATACTTTTCCTTATATTAATCTCCCTAGGTAATGTGCAATTCCTTGGAAAGAAATATATTCTGTTCTTCTCCTTCCTGCCTCCATGCCACAATGGTGTCTTGCTGAGTGGGCAAGAAGGGTCAGCACTTTATATGACTTCCTGAGGGAAGGAAAAGCCAAACTCTTAGGGAAGCCCAGGCAGAATCTTCTGTCTTCTTGGTTGCAGCTTGGCCTCTTACATTTACAGCTGAAGCCTTCGGCCAGTGCCAGCATGAGCAGGTGCCAGATTTGAGCCTTGTTCTTAGACGTGGCCCCATGGTAGACGTTCTGAGTCCCTACATTTGCCTTACTTTCCCACAACAGGGTGGCAATTCATTCCCACTCTACTGGCTGTCACTTTAGTTGTGTTGTGTTCCTTGCCCTGGAATTCCTTTGTCCCTACCTTTCTACACTGGAACCAGAAGTATCTTGGAAAAGTTCAATCTCTAGGTCCATGTTAGCCCGATTGTGATGGTCACTGAATCTACTTGGATGTAGCTTTATCCCCATTTGGTAGCCCCAGACACATCACTTACTAAAATCACAAATGAGAATAGGGACTTTGTTGAACACTATGACATGTCACTCTGATTCCTTTAAGGAATGAAGAATTTATTCCTCCTACCATTGGAGAACTGAAAAAACTGTCTTCACAAGGTCATAACTCCCTCCAGGGTTACCTGCATCCAATGACTGGCAAACTTGGGGTACAAAGTCCCAGAGCTTCTGGCTCAATTTGGGACATCCCTGAAGACCATCCCTGCTCCTAAGCTTCTCATGGGCTCAAGTGAGTCCCATGTTGGGATTGCATCACAGCTCAATGTTTCCCTCTGCCCAATCTTGTTCCACATCTTGTTAATAGGGTATCCCCTCCTTTCCACAGGTGTTGATTCTAAAGGAACTCTTTAACAAACATCCTTAGGCTAAAGTTGGTCTCAGGATCTCCCTCCCAGGGAACCCAATTTGCAACAGGACCAGCCGTTTCTCTGTTACTCTTCTGCACTCTACAGGCCCATCTTCTGATTGTTTCACCCTACCTCTTCTGTTTCCACCTTCATCTTGCAACCCTTTAGGGCCAGATGGAATGAACAATTTCCTCTTCTTCTAGTTACCTTTTCCCATCAGCAGCAAGTCTCATGGCTTAGCTACCAAGGATCAGGACTCAGAACCAGAGCAGAGACTGTCTGGAGGGGCCTGGGGCCATGGAGGGAGACACTGTGCCAGGGAAGCTGAAATCATGGACAAGACAAGGCCATTGCCAGAGACACCATTTAAAGCATGAAGAGAGAAAAACCCTGGCTCTTCCCGTATTCCCACCCTCTAGGATTTTACCAGTTCTCCCCATTGACTGAAACTAACTGGAAACCAGTTAGCAAAGGAGACTGGGAAATGTAGTTTGTGGGGATCAGCTCTCCGCAATACAGAACCATGGAGAGGAAAAATGGGGAAGGGATCTGAAAGGAAGCAAGCCAATGAGTGTCAAATGCATTAGCATATTAAATGCTATGTGCAGGCAAGCCAAGACATGTGTTTAAGTATTTCTCACACATATCCGGACATAAAACTTTATGATTCATTTACTTATCAACCTATGATCTTATTGCATAATAATCTCAGCAGAACTGTTCAAAGCACATATTTTAGAACACACTGACTTCAACAGTCCCCTACACTGATTTTCTGTTGTTGAGCATTTAGGTTGCTTCTACTTTTTTTCCTTTTATATTTAGGATGATCATTTCTGTGTTGGTTTGCATAGACTCCTTTCCACTCTTTCACCAGCAAGCCTCACTCAGCCTTTGTAAATCTACTTGATCATCAATTTCATCAAGAAAGTATTTACCTGGCAGTGAATTGTGGCATGAAAAGTGACTTGTTGTAAATGAAAAGCCTGACTTGGTTATCCAGACCTAGGCCATAGAGTACAGAATGAATTGAAGACATAGTACACGGTATGATGTGCAGATACTGGGGTTTTGGGATGGGTTGCTGCACTTTATAGAGAAGGAAGGTCCTTTCATTGCCTTCTATCCCCTTGGTGATGTTTTCGGCCCTTGTGGGTTGGGTGATGGCAGCCTATTGTATCTAGCCTGGAGCACGCTCCCTCATCCTCTCTGCCACTTTGTTCCTTGCAGAAAACCTGGAAGGGCTAAGATGCCAAGTTATTTTGCAGTATTAATCAATCAGAATAAAACCACTCTCAACTAGGCTGAACAATAGGGCATCTTGTTAAAAATAAGAAAAAATTTTAAAATGTCTATCTCACAATGAAAAAAATGGCTCTGGTAATGCTCAGTGTTTGCTGGGAGTGAATTGTGCCTTCTTTCTGGGTTTTGTGGGTGTTGGATTCTTGTGCTGATATTTTTGTGCCTGTAAAAGATGTCAAGTCCTTTGAGCTTCGTAAAGATAGAGGAGGATGTAGGAAAGGGAGAGTTTAGCATTTGGGACATTTGTTTGCAACCTAAATGTTTGTCTGATTGTTTTACTAGAGCATTGAAATTCAGCCTTGAGCTTTTCATGGTGAGCACCTTCTTTAGTCGCTGGAGAAATCCCCACTCGAGCTGGACATAAATAATAAAGAATTGTAGCAGCAGCAACAGCAGCAATACTTACAAAGTGCCTTGCGTCTGGCTTTACATGTATGTATTCATTTAATCCTTACCACAACTCTGGAAGGTAGGCTGCTGTCATCATGTCCCTCTACATGTGTAGAAGCTGAGGCACAGAGAGGTTAATTCACTTTTCCAAGTCTACCCAGCTTGTCGTTTGTGGAGCCTAAATTTGAACCACAGCAGTGAGGCTCCAAAGTCCATTCTTAGCCCCTCTACTTGGCTCTGTACAAC
Source organism: Homo sapiens (assembly GCF_000001405.40). Taxonomy (NCBI): domain Eukaryota; kingdom Metazoa; phylum Chordata; class Mammalia; order Primates; family Hominidae; genus Homo; species Homo sapiens. The sequence continues at coordinate 115,256,671 of NC_000012.12, read as the reverse complement.
TCTGTCTAGTGCAACAACTTTGAACATGCTGTAGCTCTGCCCTGCTCAACCTGTTTTTGCATGCTTTTGAAACACAACACAGGCTTGTTGGGCAAGAGAACTATAAGCATTATTATTCTTTTTGCATTGGGAAGTGAGGCTCTTTTTTTTTTTTTTTTTTTTTTTGAGATGGAGTCTCACTCCATCACCAGGCTGCAGTGCCGTCTCGCAACCTTGGCTCACTGCAACTTCCGCCTCCTGGATTCAAGTGATTCTCCTGCCTCAGCCTCCCAAGTAGCTGGGAGTACAGGTGTGCACCACCACACCCAGCTAATTTTTGTATTTTTAATAGAGATGGGGTTTCACCATGTTGGCCAGGATGGTCTCGATCTCTTGACATCATGATCTGCCTGCCTCAGCCTCCCGAAGTGCTGGGATTACAGGCATGAGCCACCATGCCCAGCCCTAAAGTCCATTCTTAGCTCCTCTTGTTGGTTCTGTACAACTCTGTCTAGTGCAACAACTTTGGACATGCCATAGCTCTGTCCTGCTCAACCTGCTTTCACATGCTTTCGAAACTCAACACAGGCTTGTCAGGCAAGGAAACTACGAGCGTTATTATGCTTTTTGCAGTGGAAAGGGTATTGGAGTTGGAGTTGGAAAACCCAGATTCTTCTCCACATCTCTGCCAGCCTCAGTTGCATGGTCTTTAGTGGGCTTTAAACCACAATTTTGGGTTTCATCCCAGCTCTATGCAAAATTCAGTGAAGGGCTTGTGCCCATTAAAAGGCACAAAGGTTCTTATCTGTAAAAGATTCACATTTTACAGATGAAAAGAATAAGGAGAAGAGAGGTCTTGTCACTGCCCCAGGCCACCCTGAAGTAAGGGATCAGGCTGGTGCCTGCCAGCCAGGTCTTCTGATACTCTACCCAGTCGTTTTTTGTTACACCAGGATCTCTAAAGGGAAAGGTGAAAAATACTGCCGCTGTGAGTGACCATCCTACCCGAGGGTTGCCAGCTCTCAGATTGATTTGTCTGCCCAGAGAGTGCACTTACAGTCAAAATCAGCAATGAAATATGCCCTCCTGTATCTAGCTCACCCTGGATACTCCAAAGGTGGCAAATCAGAGAAGCTGCAATTGGCACCTCTCTGTCACTGGTGCTGCCACAGGATTGAAGTTCAGATAAGCAGCACAGTGTTGATTTGATAGACCACATATCTCAGGGGCCTCTGGCATCCAAAGGGCCTCCTACTGAGCATGGGCAGTATCATCAGACAACAAATAAAGCATGTGCAGCCTGGGCTTCTGTGTTTCCTTTATCTGTAGATGCCTCCTGCCTTGTTTTAATCTCAGAGCATCAACAGTCACAGAGGAAACCTGGAAAAAAAATAAAGCATCAAAAGGCAAAGAAGATTGATGGTAGGTTGAATTTGTACCCAGGCTCATCAATATGGGTGGAGGGATGTATCTCTCAAGACCTGATGGGAGTAGGGCTCCCCAAGCACCCCCCACGTTGCCCCCACCACACACAGACATGCAAAGGTCTGGGACTCAAATCCACCTTGATCATAGCCCCACCTTAGTTGTTCATTTCACCTCAGTTGGAACATTGGAAGTTCCACATAGAGGGGGAGTGTTGTGAATGGACAAGTCAGAGGGAGGAAGACGGTTACAACATGTAAGAGGATGCTCGTGCCCTCCTTTCTTCACCTGTTATCCAAAATCCTTCTCTCTTTCCAAATCCCAGTTGCTTGCCTTTAAGTCAACAAACATTTTTCTAACTAACTACCTCCACGTTAGGTCAGAAGCTCTGGGCAGTGAGTCAAATCTAAATTCTGCCTTCTGCCTGTTTTGGGGATGGCCAGAGAGCTAAGAGTAGTTTTGACATTTCTTAATGGTTATATTTTCAACTGTTATATCAGTCCCTACATGAGAGTCTCAATTTTGTCTTTTGGTCCACAAAGCCTAAAATATTTACTATCTATCTGCTTTTTACAGAAAAAAAAGTCAGTGCCTGATGTAGGTTATTCAATAGGTCATCATATTTGCCATTGAAGTATCTCTCAAATTTATTGATTCACTTATTCATTCCTGTGGGGGAGCTGCTTATGTTTTCTAAACCTTGGTTTCTCCACTGTAATCAGAGGGAAACAATCATACCAATCATATAACATTAATGTGAGAATTAAATGAAATGGTGCATTTGAAGCTTTTCATTTATTTCCTAGCAAGTGTTATCTCTCACTATAGTTATTTTTGGAAGCTAGGCTGTGCGGTGTAGGAACACGAACCCAAATATACACATTGTATCATGTGTGTCAAATATATGCACATACAGACACATGTCTGTTTGCCTGCAAGTCCTGGGAGTCAGTAAAATATAGGAGAAAATGCAGGGGTGTTATACAAAGACACTTTGGGTTTTAAAGGTTTGCTCTGACACTTGTTGGCTGTGTGACCTTGAGCAAGTCATCTAAACCCTGAGCCTCATTTTTCTCACCTGTTAAAATGTCACTGATCACGTAAAACCCCTCCCATAGGGTTGATGTGAACAATAAATAAGACACTGCAATGAAAGCCTGACACAGAGTAAGTACGTGGTAAATCTTGGCTATTTTATACATATCCATTTGCACGCTCGTATTTTTGCAAACACCTATACATGCAGAGTTGCAAAATCATCTTCCAGTTGTTTTAGTAAAGCATTCTAAATTGCCTGCGTATTTTTGTGTAGAAACTGCTCTCTTTAGCTTATGTCAAGGACTGTGTGGCCTGCCATATCCCTGGCCAAGGGTGCAGCCTCATTTCTCATTTGGACAAATCCAGGAACCTTCCCAGTCACTTGAATGTGGAGGCAGATGGAGAAATAAATATCTTGCTTCAGGTGGTTCGTGCTTTCTTTTCAAAATGTCCCCAGCTCAGAGAGTTTTGTCAGCTCTTCTCTGCTCCTTCCTGAATGCTGAGCTCCAGGGTGTGTCAGGGGTCAGAGAGCCCATCTGCTGCCCAAATCAACCAGTAACATCCCAGGCAGAGTCGGTCATTGAATTCTGCTACAAGACTCAGGCAACTGTTGGGGGCTCCATCACCCAGAGCTCAGGGGACACACTTCATATGGTGCATCCCACCCTCCTCCTGGCCCTCTCTGTCACTAGAGTGTGATCTCCCATCTGAATTATTGAAGGTCCCATAGAATAATGCAAACCTGGAATCTGGGAATGGACAGGAGGTTTGGAGGGAGAAATGCATGCAGCTTGGGCAGGCTGCACACGTCACAGGCCTAGAGACACCGTCCATGTAGACTGTGGGTGAGGGTTCTCCCTAGGGCTGGCCATGCAGCCCCACACAGTGAAACAGGCAGATCTGGATGAAGGGGCACAGGAGGAAAGGCAGTTGCTGAACCAGCATCAACCCAGTGAGATGGATGCTGGCCCTGGTGGTGATGAGTCAGCATGAAGGGGCTGCTGCAAGGGGCACAAGAAAGAGGCTTGGGGGCTGTCCACACCCCACACTGGAGAGGGCAGAGCCCAGGAATGGAGATGTAGCTGTTGCTCCCAGCCAGGATGGGATGCTGGCCTGTCTCATTTACTTTACCCTTTGGTGATGCTGTTTCGTCTCTATGGGAAGTCTGTTCTGGTGTTAGTTATCATCTCTGTCTTCCAGCCTCAGTTCCACAAAAGACATACACAAGTATACACACAACCCACAGAGACACACACAAACACATATAGAAATGCAAACACAAAAGATAGACACAAATACCCATATAAACACACATATAAACAAACACACGCCAACACACACACACGCAAATGCATATACACAGGTAGAAGCAAACACAAAAAGAAACACAAACCCATACACAGAGATACAAAAACATACACAGAAACACAAAGAAACAAACACAAAAGCATATAGAAATGCCCATAGAGAAACACACACATGCAGAGAAACAAAAACACACAGAAACACAAATACAGGCATAGGCACATTCAAACACACACAAAAAACACAAAAACACACACAGAAATGAAGACTCAAAAAGATAAACAAACATCCAAATAACACATATCAACACACACAAATACATGTATAAACACACAGAAACACAAACACAAAATACAAACAAACATAGAAACAGAAACACAAATGCACACACAAACACACAGACAGAAACAAACACAAAAGCATATGGAAAGACACATGCGCACAGAAACAAACAAAAGCACACAAGAACACACACACAAAAGCACCCACAAGCCCATAAAGAAATGCACCCACGCGCACACCGCCATGGCTTGCACTCATGCAGAGGACTTGGGCCCTCTGGCCCTGCTGATGCCATTGATGCCTTGGTGCGATTCCTTCCAGAGCTGTAGATCCTGAGCAACAAATGTGATCTCCATTTCCTTAAGTCCCATAAGGCCAAGGGCAGAGCCAGGCATAAGAACCCTGAGGGTCAGAGAAATCGCCAGGCAGCCACCGGCATGGGTTCAAATCCCTGCTCTGCCACTAAGTGATGACATAAACCAGACCTCCATTTTCCTTTTATAAAACAGTGGGGGGTAATGCTCCCTTTTCCCAAGGATTAAGTGTATTAACACACAAGGTGCCTGGATGAGGGCTCAGTGAAGTTATTTTCACTAACACTGACTCTCAAATACTGCCATCTCCGGGTTCTCACCTGTGCAGCTTGGGGTTCCCATGCGTAATGACTCACTCAGTTATTTCTGGAATCCCTAGCGGTTGCCTCGCACACATTCTTGAAGAGTAATCTGTTTTCCCATTATGATGACCCCCGTTAAGGGGCTGCCTCCAAAGCCTTGTGGGAGGTTCTCTCTCCATCTCATACGGCCAGGTTGCTGGAGTCCAACACAAAACACCAATTCTGTTCAAGCACTGTTTCTTGGTCCTCCCAAAGCTGCCAGCCCCTGGGGATGCCCATTCCTGCCACATTCACTGTGGACTTTATCATCAGAGCTGCGCTGTGCTGGACAAAGCTGGGGTGCTGCCTGATGCCCAACTCACTCTGATGCCTGCAGTCCTATCAGTACCAGATTTACCTCTCCTCTCAAAGTCCATATGAAAGCCTCTCTTCTCCCCACCCTCCCTTCCCCTTCTCTCCTTCTCATCTTCCTCCTCATCTTCTTCCTTCCTCTTCTCTCTTCTTCTCCTTCTTCTCTCCCTTCTTTCTCCTCTTTTCTTCCTCTTTCCCTTCCTCCTCCTCCTCTTCCTCCTCATCTTCCTTCCTCTTCTCTCTTCTTCTCCTTCTTCTCTCCCTTCTTTCTCTTTTCTTCCTCTTTCCCTTCCTCCTCCTCCTCTTCCTCCTCATCTTCTTCCTTCCTCTTCTCTCTTCTTCTCCTTCTTCTCTCCCTTCTTTCTCCTCTTTTCTTCCTCTTTCCCTTCCTCCTCCTCCTCTTCCTTCTCTTTTCCTCTCCTCCTCCCTCTCTCCCTTATAACTGAGACCTAGGGCATAGGCAGCCCCATGCCTGCTCCATCTCCTTCTCTTTCCTATCCTTTTCACCTCTTTCCCTGAAGCTTGTCTCAAGCTGCTTTCTGTTTGCACTTGAAAGACGGTGCCTCAGTATGGACATTTCAGGCCATTTTTAAGTGCAAATTTTAATGCAGAACAGGAGAGGAAACAAGAACAGTCAGTGTGGGGGTGGGGGGTGCGGTGCCACCCAATGGAATGAGCACCTCAGCTTGGAGCCAGAAAGACCTGGAGTAAAATCCCAAGTCTCCCGCTTGCTGGCTCAGGACAACAGTCACAGAATGTGCCACTTACTAAAGAGGGACACAGCCAGAGACATGTCAGTGCTACTGACCTCTCTGAGGTTCCCTCGGAGGCCAGGACTCTGCCCAGTGCCATAGGACACTACCTTTCCATCCAGAGGAAGCAAACTGCTTTATATCCTCCATCTCCGCCTCCCCAGTCCAGAGACATGGAAAGATAAGCTTAGTAGTGAGGAAAAGGAGGAAATTCAGAGATCCAGCAATAATCAGGATCAACTGACCCTTCAACCACCACACACAGGCAACCCAAACGTGTCTGCAGCATTGTGTGTGGATGACCCTTATGGAAAAAAGCTATAGAATCCTTCCAAACAGCCTTCCTACATCCAGAAAGCTGTTTATGTGGTGGTTATGGCTTTGGGGCTTTGGGGGTAGACAGGGCTGATGGTGAGTCCTGGTTCTAGAACTTTCTATGCACTCATGGCATGCTCTTTGATCTCTGTAATCTTCAGCTTCCTTAGCTTGGAAAATGGGCACCATGATGCCTCTTGATGTCAGGGATTCCACTCATCACAGAGTAAGAGGCTGGCATTTCGATTGTGTTGTTATTATTTTAATGAGCTGACGGATGAGGAAAACATATCTCTGAGTATGAGAAAGCCTAAGACAGAAAGACTGGGCACTATAATGACAGGCTTTGTCTCTGTCTTGCTTTTGTAGAAAGCTGGGCTTAGACTTACGCCTTGGGTTAATTTCCTTGTGTCTCCCTCTGCCCCCTCCTTTCTCCTACCTCCTTCCTCCCTATCCTGCAAGGGTGAAGTTAGCACACCACTGGGGTTAGCAGGAGGTACAAACTGGATTAGATGTTAAATCAATTTGGTCTTCCTCCCCAAGGGCGGCACAGGCAGGTTCCACATGAATAATGATTTGTCTGAGGCAGCAAACTGGATTATTTGATCAAAAAGGGGAAAAAACAACTCATGTTCATTTTTTAATAATGGCTTTTGCATCCAGTCTCCAAGCTTGGCTAAGAGGGGAGGGAGAGAGAGGGGGTGGCTGTCGGGGAGGATGAGCTGGAAAGGAGACAGTAACACAATGCTTTTTCCTCTGAGATCTCCTGCTCCAACCTCAGGCTAGAGCAGGGTCTGCCAGATCCAGCCCCCAGCATGATCTTGTTTGGGTATGGCCTGCAAGCTCAGGATGATTGTATGTTTCTAAATCTTGGAATAAAAATCAAAGGAATAATAATATTTATCTCAAGTGCTTTGCAATATGTCATAGTCTGTTGTATGTCTTTGCATCTATTACAGCTCATTTAATCTTTACTATGGAGAAAACACTACAGATGAATTTATAGATGAGAAAACTGAAGCTTCTGGAATAGGAGTCTCAAATTCAGCGCTAACTGACATTTGGGGCTGGGTCATTCTTGGTTGTGGGGCGCTTTCTTATGCATTGTAGTATGTTGAGAAGCTTCTATGGCCTCTACCCACTAGATGCCAGTGGTATTCTCATCCCCAAGTTTGAACAACCAAAACTGTCTCCAGTCAAATGTCACCTGGAGAGCAAAGTTATCACTGGTTAACAATCTCTGTTCTAGGATGGTTAAGTAAGTCATCAAAAATCATATAGCTACTGACTAGTTTAGCTGGAATTCAAACCCAGGGAGTCTTCCCCAGACACTCTCTCCTAACCAGCTTCTCCATATGAGAAGTTCTCCAACATGAGGAGGGTGGTACAGCTGCACTAAGAGACATTGGCCATGCCTTCTAGAGAGTGCTTATGTGGGAATATCAGTGTTTCAGAGAAACAAGGAAAGGATCCGTAGAATGAGGCCATATTTCTACCACGATGGTGGGGAACACTAACCTTGTACCCTATTTATACCATGTTAATCCCCCGCTGATATGGTTTGGCTGTGTCCCCACCCAAATCTCATCTTAAATTCCCACATTTTGTGGGAGGAGCCCAGTGGGAGGTAATTGAGTCATGGAGGCAGGTCTTTGTCATGCTGTCCTCACAATAGTGAATAAGTCTCACACCTTCACAAGCTCTCTTGTTGCCTGCTGCCACACATGTAAGATGTGACTTGCTCCTCCTTGCCTTCCACCGTAATTGTGAGGCCTCGCCAGCCACGTGGAACTGTGAGTTCATTAAATCTTTTTCCTGTATAAATTACTCAGCCTCAGGTATGTCTTTATTAGCAGCATGAAAATGGATTAATACACTCCCCAAAGCCAGAATTCCATTCTTCTCATAAATAGATGTATCACAAAAATAAAAATAATTGCATCCAATTTGTATTATTAATCCAAATTTGTCTATTAAAAACATTGTGGGAATTTGGGGTTCTTTTTGGATAATATCCTCAGTTTTCCCTCTTTTCCCACAAGGCCAGATTTACCGAAAGTAAACCTGGCTCTTTATAGAAAGTTTGTTGATTCCTGTTAATCGCACAAAATGGACAACTGTGGAAACAATCTTCATGTCCATTGACAGGGCTGTTTTATGAAGAGAAGCAATTGGTTGGCTTTGGTGATTGAGCACAGACTTTAGAGCCAGGTAGTCTGGGTTCAAATCCCTGCCATGCCACTTACTGGCTGTGTGACCTTGGGCCTCCTTGTGCCTTGTGCATTGGTTTTTGTATTTGTAAAATTAAAAAAGAAAAGAATCTCCCTTCACAAACTACTAAGGGTTCATCCATATAAATAAATTTATACCAATGTAAAGCTCTCAGAACATTATCTGGCTGATAGGAAGTGCTATGTAAATATCAGCTATTATTATGACTGTTGTTACTACCTTCACCCTCCTCGTGGTTACAATCTTTGGAAAATCCCAGTTCAGGCTACCGTTGTGCAGTGCTGAGCCACGCATGTGGTCTCCCTGCAGTCCTTTTCATGCTTCTTTGTGGAATTCACCTTTTCCACTTCTCGTTCCCAACACATGGTTTTGGTTTTTCTTTCCTCCTACGATTTTTATCATCTTCCTGGAGGTGGCCAGATCTAGGAGTGAGAAATGGTAAGTATTTGATTGCATTTGAGGAAGGAATGCCCCTGAGCTGGACCTTCTCTTGGTTCCCAAAGCATTCACAAAGACTCAACTTCTTTTTAACAGGTTTCTTCAGAAATACAAAAAGTATAAAAAGTATTTTTAAGCCCATCTTCATGTGGCCTACCCCTCTAACCGTCTTGGAGTTGTCCCATTTTCTCTTGCTCATCAGAAAGTCCTGGGGTCTGACCCTTTCCTTTTGTCCCAGCAGCTTTCTGAGGAAAAATCGTGGGCTGATCTCTCCCAGGGTCATCTGGAGGACTGAGGTCTGCACCTCAGAGTGGGTGGGGTGTTTGGCTCTGGAAACATCAGAGAAACAAAAAAAGTGGAACTGCTTAAAGATATATCAGCATTTATGAATGCTTACTAAAGTACCAAATGTTGCATGAAATACTTTGCATGTATTTTTTATTTTAAGTTCAGGGGTACATGTGCAGGATGTGCAGGTTTGTTACATAGGTAAATGTGTGCCATGGTGGTTTGCTGCACCTAAGTATTAAGCCTATCATGCATTAGCTATTTTTCCTGATGCTCTTCCTCCCCCACCCCCTCCCCCAACAGGCCCCAGTGTGTGATGTTCTCCTTCCTGTGTCCGTGTGTTCTCATTGTTCAGCTCCCACTTATTAAGTGAGAACATCTTTGCATGTATTTTCTCATTTAAATTCCAGCTGCCTAATGGGTAGGTTCTATTATTATCACTATTTTCGGCAAAGAAATTGAGGCTCAGAGGGGTTAAGTCACTTGCCCAGGCATCGTATCAGGAAATGGGCAGAGCAGATCTTTCTGGCTTTAATGCCTATATATAAACGGACATATATTGATTTGACATATAATGAGCCACAGATGAACCCAGGTAAAGGTGAAGCTACATGCAGCTATCCTATTTTTATAAATTTTATAATTATTTTGAAATTAAACAATTTTAAAAGTTTTTTTTTTTTTTTTTTTTTTTTTTTTTGAGACGGAGTCTCGCTCTGTCACCTGGGCTGGAGTGCAGTGGCGCTATCTTGGCTCACTGCAGGCTCCGCCTCCCGGGTTCACGCCATTCTCCTGCCTCAGCCTCCCGAGTAGCTGGGACTACAGGCGCCTGCCACCACGCCCGGCTATTTTTTTGTTTTTTTAGTAGAGACGGGGTTTCACCGTGCTATCCAGGATGGTCTCGATCTCCTGACCTTGTGATCCGCCTGCCTTGGCATCCCAAAGTGCTGGGATTACAGGCGTTTAAAAGTTAACTTTTTAAAACAGATAGTAATTGAACTTCTACTGTGTGCCAAAAATGGTCATAAACCCTGGCCTCATGGAACTTTCATCTCATACGGCGGTCGCCAAACCACAGCTCAGGAGCCAGAGCACCTCCCTCTTTGTCTGGGGAACTAGGATGGACAGAGGGTCAAACTGATGTCTCACTGCTGATAATCTTCAGTAGCAGGAGAGGCGTATTTCTCTGTGCTTGCCTTTCCTTTATTGTCACTGTGCTCCAATTCACTGGCCTGCTGTCCGTTTTGCAAGTAATGCATTTTGGAACACTGCCATGCCCCCTTGTTAGTGTATTGCCTATGGCTGCTTCCATGTTACGATGGCAGAGTTGAGCACATGTGACAGAGACCCTATGACCCACCAAAGCTGAGAATATTTACCATCTAGTCCTTTCAGAAAAAAAAATGTACAGGAGGTATATAACTTAGTAGGGCATTTGACTGCAGGGAACATTTGCTGTCCATCTTATATCAGTCTGCAAGAGCTGCTGTAACAAAGTACTGCATATGGTGGCAGGGTGGGGGCTTAAACAACAGAAATATATTTTCTGAAAGCTTTGGAATAGAAGTTGGGGATCAAAGTGTGGGCGGGGTTGGTTCTTTCTGAAGCTCCTCTCCTTGGTTTGCAGTGGCGGCTTCTACCTGTCTACACATCATCTTCCCTCTGTATGTGTCTGTGTCCAAATTTCTTTATTTTATATTGACATCAATCCTATTGGACTAGGGCCCATATTAATGACTTTGCTTGAACTTAATTACCCCTTTAAAGATCCTGTTTCCAAATACAGTTATTCAGTGGTGCTGGTAGCCAGGGTTTCAACGTATGAATCTGGGGGAGATGCTATTCAGCTCATGACGCCCCTGGTGTAGTGAGAATGAGGACGACTAAAAAATTACCTAAATATGGCTCATGAGAGAGATGCACAAAGTGCTGTGGGACAGAATAGGAAGATGTATCAGGCTTCTCAGTGGAGGTGACATTTTAACAGGCTCTTGGAATAAATTTGTGTTTACCAAGCAGAAAATGTGACTGGACATCCCACAGCAGCATGCACCACATTTAGAAGGCTTGGGGCACGTAGAAAACCAACCACAGACAGAACTACTACACACTGGAGTTCAGAGAGTCGCTGTAGCAAAAGGATCCTGAATCTAGAGGTTGAGAAGGTGTCACCCTTTTCTTTCTGCGTCGAGGCTATAAATTGCTATCCTGTGAACCAAGGACCAAGGGGAGGACCACAGGGAACTGTCTCTCAGGAAGTCGATGCCTTCAGAGTAGCGAGTCCAAGACACCCGGTGAGCAGAGGCAGGTCTGAGAATTAGGAAGTCAGAATTTCTCCTCTGGCCACGGTTCCATCAGACAGAGCCTTGAATCTCAGCCACCTCTCGCTTATGGGATTCCCATTATCCACCCTGGATGTTGAATGGTTCTGGCAGCCTGCACGGCCGGGAGCACAGACCCAGGGAAACTACAGAGAAGAGTCGGTCTTGCCAAGAGAGCTGCTTCCTCTTGCTTCTAGGTCCCATTAGACCATCCAACCAGCATCCTCACATAGGAAGACAAACAGTAACTTCTCCCCCAGTTCTTCCCCGCTGCCCTCCCAGAAGCCTGGTCGTTAAGAGACTGCACACATCACAGCTCTGCTCGAAGCCTTCACCAGCCCAAGGGGCTTGGGTGTTTCTTTTTTCTGAGGGGGTTTCTTCCCTCACTTCCTCTTTTCCCTGCTGTCCTACCCCCTAAATGCTGGCATTGGCTCAGCGACATGACTATAATATTCTGAGGCCAGACCCTTTTTTGGAGCAAAATCAGCCAAGGATTTTGTTGGCTAAGTGGGGAACATATTTCATTCCTAGTTCAGAAACACCAGCTTAGGCCTGACAACCAATTGGATTCCATGTGGGGAAATCATGCCTCACCTGATGGATGTGATCAAACACACACTGGCCATGAGAGTATCTCTTTCTGCCACTTGGGGATTAAGGTTTTCCACAGCTCTTTCATTCACAGTGTCTCCATATCATCCAGGAGACGGCACTGCTCCATAAATCAGGCTGTGGAGGACAGTCAAGGTCATGAATCTCCTTCAACTTCACCCTGTGACCCCCTTCCCAACCATCGCCATCTGGGGCTGTGCTCACATGGCTCTCAGGCAGTGACCCTGGAAGGGAGCATCCCAGGGGACCCCGCTCCAGAGGCAGTGAACTCATCCCTCCCTCCTGCTCCCCAGCCCTGGTGCTGTCTTAGCCAGTGGTGGGGAGAACAGGGGACTGGTATTCATTGAGCACCTACTTAGTGCTGGGCACAGAGTCAGGCACTGTGCATGTGTTCCAATAACCCTGCTAGATAGGTGCTGCTCTCATTCTCCTTTTACAGACACGGAACCCAGATTTAGAAAGCTTGAGTAACAATGCTGGAGTTGGCCTTGGCATCCCAAAGGCCATGACCTCACAAATTAGTCCCTTCCCTTCCCTTCTCCTCCCCTCTCCTCCCTTCCCTTACCTTCCCCTCCTTCCCTCCCTTCCTCTCCCTCTCTCCCTTCCTCTCCCTGTCCTTCTTTCTTCTCCTTTCCTTTCCCTTCCTCTCTCTCCCTTTCTCCCCCTTCCTCTTTCCCTTGCCTTCCTTTCCTTTCCCTCCCCTCCCCTCCCCGTCTTCCCCTCCCTTCCCTCCCTCCCTTTTTCTCCCTCCTTCCCTTCCTCTGCCTCTCCTTCTTTCTTCTCCCTTCCCTTCCCTTCCTTTCCCTTCCCTTCCCTCCCTCTCCCCACTCTCCTCCCCTCCCCTCCCTTCCCTTCTCCTCCTTCCTTCCCTCTCTCTCTCCCTCTCTTCCTCTCCCTCTCCTTATTTCTCCTCCCTCCCCTCCCCACCCGTCCCTTTCCCTTCCTTTCCCTTCCCTTCCCTCTCTCTTCTCCCTTCCCCTCCCCTCCCCTCCGCTCCCCTGCCCTCCCCTTCCCTTCCCTTCCCTTCCCTTCCCTAGAGGCCTGATTGCTGAGTGCCTGCCATGTTTCAGAAACTACAGTCAGAAATGAGGCCACCTAATGAGAACCAATCCAGCACAGCCTCTACCCACATGGAGCCCACACTATAGTGAAGCTCCCTTCCTTCTTGTGGATTTCTATGAGATTTTGTTTCCCTAAGACCTGACACATGGTTTGGATATAAAAATAATACTCATGATCATGGTAATACAGATAATAACAGTAATAAAATTAATGAGAGGGAAGAGGCTATTCCTCACTGGCAAAATGAAAATAACACCTATTACATTGAATTTTAAATGCTCATTTAAAAATCTCTGGACACGTTTGCCTTATAATCAATGTTAAGTCCCTTGTAGGCTTGTTATGGAGATCTAACAAGTTCGCTGTCTGCAAAATGCTTAGTATCCACTCTCTAGGCACTATTATTTTGTCAGTTGACTTTGGGAGCTGAGGTCTTCCCAGGTCCTGGGACTGGCAGAGGGTCCTGAGCACTTTAATTTCTCATTCTTCTCTTCCAACGTGACTCAAGATAGACTCTGTGCCTTTCCAGCCTAATCTGGGTGACTCCCGCATCACTCTCTGGCCTGGCTGATGTCAGAGGCCCCTAAACTGCTTCCCCAAGAAAAAGAGGCAGTGTCCCCTGGGATCTGCCACACCAAAAGGCCACTAATCTGGGAGAGCAGAACTCTAACCCTGACTCTCCATGTGATCTTGAGCAAGTCACATAGTGTCCATCAGAGTCAGATGTCACTTTAGCAGTGATTTTTGTTAAGTACAGTCTAACCTGAATATTGATTTCTGGGTCTGAACGTTATTGAAACTAATAGGATTAGATAAGACTGACATTTGGGGATCATGAACTTGACTTTCAAGTCAGGGAGTGAGGTGGGAATTCCAGACACGTTAGCAAGTTCAGAGGAGGAAATCTTTGGAGGAAGGGGGACTGCTGTGGGTCCTGAAGTGACCAAGGAGTATTTGGTGCACACCTGTGTAAACCACAGGGCTTCGGGGAGCGGAGCCCCAAGCAAGATGCTAAGAAGGCGGGGACCTTGGAAAGAAGGCCTGGCAAGAAGCAAAGGGTATACTCAAGTCAGGAAATTTTGGGGAGAATTTAAGGAAGAATCTAACTGCAAAGACTGGGCATGGTGTGGGGAAACTAGCAATGAGTGTGACAGAACCTCATCAGGGAGCCGGTAAGGAGGGGAGAAGGTCGTATACACCTGAGAGGGTAAGAGGAGGGAGTGGGGGCTCAACCTGGAGTTGGATGGCTGTGCAATAGGGTCACCTGGCAGGAGCTGTGAGCTTTGGTGGAGGGACCAAAGTCTGTGATGATACCATAAGAAGGGAGCAGGGGGACTGAATGCATCAGCCTTTCTCTCCTTCTGCCACCCTCTCTCTGACTTCCCAGTGCTCTCATTGGCCAAATCCAGCCAGAATTCAGGAGGTACAGAAGACCATTGATACAGTTTTCCTGGTTACTTTTCTCAGGGCAGAATGCTGAGTGGAGAAGGGGGAATAGTGGCTGTGTTCGGGGAAACAGAAGACATATTACACAAATGCCCCCTCCCTGATTCTCAACATCCACCTTTCACCAATGAAGAGGTGGTTTCGTTCCTTCATCCAAGCAGTGGAACCCTTCCTTCACGAAGGATGGTGTGTGAAAGATCAACATCTGGTTGGGTGTGGTGGCTCATGCCTGTAATCCAGCACTTTGGAAGGTCAAGGCAGGAGGATCAATTGAACCCAGGAGTTTGAAACCAGCCTGGGCAACATAGCAATTGTCTTCAAATAAAAAGAAAATAAATAAATTAGCCGGGTGTAATGGCATGCACCTGTGTTGCCAGGTACTTGGGAGGCTGAGGAGGGAGGATTGCTTGACCCTGGTAGGTCGACTCTGCAGTGAGCCATGATTGTGCCACTGCATTCCAGCCTGGATGACAGAGTGAGACCCTTTGTTAAAAAAAACTCAAAAAGAATAAAACAATAACAAAAACCAACAATCGAAACAGAGCAACATCCAGAACATAAAAAAGTAGTCCGTGCTGCTTCCAACAGGGGTGGCAGGCCACAGTCCCCACCTTTCTAGCATCTCCCTTGGGGCTCAGCTCCCCAGAGCCCTAGGGTTCGCACAGGTGTGTACCAAATACTCCTCAGTCCCTTCAGAATCCATGACAGTCCCCCTTTCTCCAAAGATTTCATCCTCTAAACTTGCTAATGTGTCTGGAATTCCCACCTCACTCACTGACCTGAAAGTCAAGTTCATGATGCCCAACTGTTAGTCTCATCTAATCCTATTAGCCTCAATAAAGTTTAGACCCAGAAATCAATGGCCAGGTTAGACTGTGTTTCACAAAATCAGCACCAAAGGAACATCTAAAATGTCACTCTGAGCTGGAAACAGCAGTTACTTCTTGACTTCTGGATCTCTCTCTTCTATCTTCTTTCCTCTGTTTCTCTTTGGCCTTTAAGATTGTGTTATTTCTCTCTCTCTCTCTCTCTCTCTCTCTCTCTCTCTCTCTCTCCCTCCCTCTCCCTCTCTTCTCACTTTCTCCTCTGTGTATATGTCTTCGGAACAGACTATACAAACATTTGCATTAGAACTCACATCCTCCTTCTCTGCCATATGACAAGTGATTGCTGGTTTCAACTGTCCTAGGCATTTTAGTCTTATGGTAAAGAGCATAGACTTTGGCAGCATACTGGCTTCTTTGTAAGAAATAAATAAGATAATGCATGTAAAATACTCGACACAACTCCTGGCAAGTAGTAAGTACTCAAAGCAATTTTTATTGTTACTTTCCTAAGTGTAATATACACTTCGTCTCTAGGGTCTCGTGCCCCAGTTGCTACTGAATTCTCAAATCTGGAGTTCCCAGGCACTGGATTTTTCCACCAAGATAAATAAATGAATACAATGGAGGAATAACTGAATACTTACTATATGCTAGATACAGGAACACAAAGGCCAGAAAACAAAAGACATGATTGCAATATTCTTACAATATTCTAGGGAAGGAGATAGACACCATCCAGGATGCAAAAAATTGCTGTGAGGACAGACACAGAGGAGAGAGTAATTTTTCTTCTTCCTGGGAGAATCAGAGAAGCTTCACAGAATGGATGTTAAGGTGTTAGGTCTTAAGGGTGACTAAGAGTTTGAAACTTTCAGGATAGACATGAGAACATTCCAGACAGGGAACAGCACCCACTTGGTAAAGGAACCTGCTGACACAGCACATATAGATCGGCCTTCCAAGGCCCCAAAGTGGGTGGAGAAGGGTGGAGCATGATCTGAGAGCATCATATGTTCAAGCATTCACTCAAAAACCAATTTTTTTTAACAACTGCTATGTACCAGGCACTATTGCAGGTGTCAGATGTAGATAAAGCCATGAGCCCATCTGAAATAACACTCTACCCTCCTGCACCTTACATTTGAGTTAGCAGAGACAGACATATCAAAGTTTACAGTTGGATGATCTAGCAAGCAGAACAATAGCACCAAATGATTCCACATTCTAATCCCTGGAATCTTGGAACATGTTAGGTTACATGGTGTATTAGTTCATTCTCATGCTGCTAATAAAGACATACCTGAGACAGGGTAATTTATAAAGGAAAGAGGTCTAATGGACTCACAGTTCTACATGGCTGGGGAGGCCTCAAAATCATGGTGGAGGACAAAGGAAGAGCAAAGGGACTTCTCACCTGGTGATGGGCAAGAGAATGTGTGCAAGGAACTACCCTTTATAAAACCATCAGATCTCTTGAGATGTATTCACTATCATGAGAACAGTATGGGGGAAACTGCCTCATGATTCAACTATCTCCACCTGGCCCCATCCTGGACATGTGGGGATTATTACAATTCAAGGTGAGATTTGGGGGGAGACACAGCCAAACCATACCACAAGGCAAAGACATACTGAGGTTGCGAATGGATTTAAGCTTTCTAAGCAGCTAACCTGAAAATAGGGAGGAGATTCTTCTGGATTCTCTGGGTGGGCCTAATGTAACCATGAGGGTACTTAAAAGTAGAAGAGGGAGGCAGAAAAAGAGTTCAGAGAAAATGAGACCTCAGAGGAATGGCTGGAGAGACGCAAGGTTGCTGGCTTTGAAGGTGGAGTAAGATGGAGCCGAGTGTGTGACTTCTAGAAGTCGGAAAGGGCCAGGGAGTGCATTTTCCTCTAGAACCTCCAGAAGAAAAGCAGCCCTGGTGACACCATGATTTCACTCCACTGAGACCTGTGTTGGACTTCCAAACTATAGAACTGTAAGAAAATAAATGTGTGTTATGTAAGCTGCTAAACTTGTGGTAGTTAGTTATGGCAGCAAGAGAAAACTAATGCAGGTGATGATAAAAGAAAAAGGGTTGGAAAAATAAGGTCAAAAAGGGAGCTAGACAAGTATGCATGCTCTAAGCAGAGAAATAATTTAACATTCAATATGGTGGTCAGGAAAGGCCTCTCCAAAAGTTGATATGTGAACAAAGACCTGAAGAAAGTGATGTGGAAAGCCATGCTGATATCTGGATAAAGAGTCTTCATGACTCTTAAGCCTCAATATCTGGAGGAATAGAAAACAAGGGCCTGGAGGTGGGAGTTTGTCTGATCCGTGCAAGGAACAACAAAAAATCCTGATGGGGTGGGAACAGAGGATGCCAGAGGGCTAATGGGGCATCCAGATTGGAAAGGACTTTGATTTTCACTTTGGTTCCCATGGACATCATTGAAAGGCTTTGTGCAGATGAAAGAGACATGCTGTGACTTATCTATTAACAGAACTGCTCTGGCTATTGTATTGAAAGTAGACTGGAGTAGAGAGTACTGTTTGAGGCTATTGCAATAACACAGGCAAGAGATGAGGGTGGCTTGCACTGAATCAGAGCAGCAGAGGTTATAACAAATGACAAGAGCCATGCGGACATTGGTATGATCTCCGCATAGAAGTTGAGGAGGGAAGGAATAGGAGTTGAGACTTGATGACGAAAGGCATAGGAGTTGAGACTTGATGACGAAAGGCATAGGAGTTGAGACTTGATGAGAAAAGGCAGCTTAAATTCCTTATGATCTGGACAACTGAGCTAATCACAAAACTTCCCTCAATTTCTTTTCATGATTGACTCAACCCTTCTCATCTCTCCCTAAACCTATCTAGATTTGCAACCTGGAGCCTTTCTCAAGGTCTTAGAGGTCAGTTCCCTGCTGGGGACAAGGGTGCTTCACACAAAAGCAATTGGAGTCCACATGGGTTGAACAGGGGCGGCTCAGTCATGTCTTTATTGAGCTGCTCCCTGTTGTTACCATATGCAGAGGCTCATTTATTTATAACTCTCTGGTCAGCATCTTCTGAAAGACTCGTTACTGTCTGCGCCCTACACTACGGGGAGTTGCATCAAGGAAATGCATTAAGGAGAATCAGCAGGAGGCAAGGGTACCACTGGTCAGGCTCCCTACCTCTCAATTATTTATTGCTCATAATTTCCAGCAAATCGCTGGCTGTTTATTGGTGATCATCCATTATTGAAACACTTCCTAGGGCCGGGGCCAGGTTTTCGGGAGCTAGAGCTGGGGTGTACTCTTGAAAGCTGTTAGACAACCCCTAGGGAGTATGGGGTCTCCAGAGTGGCTGGTCATCCAGCAAGGATATGCCTTTTAATTGTTGGCTTTTGTGGGAGCCTGGGATTGGTCAAGATCCAGCCTGTGGTTTACCATCGGTAATTGACAGAGCCCTGATGTTTTAGGGGTGTGTGTGTGTGTGTGTGTGTGTGTGTGTGTGTGTGTGTGTGTGAAGTTGCTTTGTCTATGGGAATGACCCTGGGCCCCAATGGTTGTGAGCTTTATGCTGTTCACAAGAGCCTGGTGCACCATCTTAGGAAACCGCTACTACTATCCATCCAAAAACCTGGGATTTACCCTCTATCTCTTGCTTTCTTCTTCCCATGTAGTCTATCTCAGGCTCTTCCAACCCATCAGTGAATCCTTCTGACCCTACCTCCAATATTTATATATTCCACATTTTTCCACACCTCTAACCTTTTGCCACCATTGCTTTCCTCTAAGCCACCACCATCATGTCCCATTTGGGTGACTGCATAGCCTCCTTCCAGGTCTCCTTGCTTCTATTCTTGGCTTCTGCTAATTCATCCTTCACCTGGAAGCCAGAGGTATCTTCTAAAAACTTAAATCAGATACCATTACTCTCATTCTTGAAAATACTTGAATGATTTTCCATTGCACTTGGCATAAACTGCTTTGTGTGGTGTACAAACTAGCTCTTCACCAACTAACTCAACTTCACTCAGCTCGATTTCACCATCTCACTGCTCCAACCTCATGAGCCTTTGTCAGTTGCTTGAGCAAGCTCTTCCTGCATCAGTGCCCTCGCACAAGTTCTTCGCTCTTCCAGGAGTGCTCCACATTCAGAACTTCCCAAGGCTGGTCCCTTCTCATAATTCAAGTCTCAGCTTTAAATGCCACTTCCTCGGAGAGTCATTTTATGTGGAGCCTATCCACATCCTCCCGTTCTCCATCAATGGATTCTGATTACTTTCGGCATAGCTCTTACATCATTTGCCAATGGTGTATTTGTTTGCTTGTTTTGTTTTAAGATTCAGACTCCATCACTAGATTGTAAACTCTGCAAGATCATCGCCAGTGCCTAACGTAAGGCTTGACATGGAGTAGGTGCTCAATAAATATTGGTGAGTAAATATATGAATAAATAAATGAATAAGGTGACCAATTATAATCCCCAAATAGTGCTCATCAATCCAAAAACTGTGTGCCATCTTCTAATATGTCTCTAATCTCTGATGACCAAACCCACCTCATCTTGTTTCCGCAAACATTAGAGGATCTTAGGATGAAGGAATCCAAGTCATCCTCCCTCCTGAAATAGAGATCCCAATGCAACAACCCGGACAGATGATCACCTTCCTCTGCTTGAATACTGCCAAGCCTTGCACAATTCTCATCTCTGCACTCAGGCTTTCCATTGTTGGAAAACCTTGACTTCCTTATAACGAATCAGAATCTGCCTTCCTGGAGACATCCACCATTCAGCTTTATTTTCACAGCTTAAGTAAGAATGTGGACTCTTGAGTTTGCTAGACCTGAGTTTGAATACTGACTCCTCCACTCACTATATGACTTTGAGCAAAGGCTTGAACCTCCCCAAACCTTAATGTTATTACTTGTAAAATAGAGATAACTATATTATTATCACACCAGATATATAAATGAGACAGTGTTTGCAAAGTGCTTGGCACAGAGCCTGATAACTTTTGTGATTTGTTTTCCTCCTTCCTGGATCATACGGGCTCCTTCTAGGTGGAAATAAAATCTAACTGCACTCTGTCTATGATACAGACCCATATCTAAAATAAAACTGTTAAGTAAGATCTTCTAAGAGCCTTCTCAACCTAAAGCTCCAGGAATGTTTCAAAGGACCAAGATATAGCCCCTATTATGATAAAAAATATTCACCTTTGCCTTACTCAGACAGAATGTATGAGGTTCAGCTTGACAGAGTGAGGATGAATGAATAACTCGAAGAATAATTAACCTCCTGGAATATTTTTATTGTTTTAGATATCTTTTTAATGTTCATATAATTTAATGAAAAACACAAACTCCATTAGCCAAATTACATTCTACTATTAAGTCCAGGCTAGGAAGAAAGCTAATGAGATTTTTTCTTGGCATTCTTCTCTCTGATCTCCCCTATGTTTATTGAGAATTTACAAGTTGATTGCAAAAGTTTATGTCCTAACATTTTGTTGAGTCTGTGTCTAGTTACTTTCCATATAATGCAAAAATGCCTGTGGAAATCCTAACACAGTTTCATTGCTTATTGGATAAAATAGCTTTATCCTAGGTCAGAAAAATCTAAACTCTTCCCCTGCACAAAATTAGCATTGATAGTTGATAGGTAAAGGAAATACTAATTCAAGAATTAACTAATTGCTTTTTTTCCAATTAGCTGATCTTTATTTATTGACTGGGTTCCTACTAAATCTCCACTTAATCATATATTGATGGCAGATGATGTACTAAGCAGTCTGATTTATCGCTAAGAGATTTTGATATGAACCATGTCTAAACTCCCATGGATCCCAAGGAAATCCCGTTCTGCCTTGAGAAATCTAGGCCGGTACAAAACGAAAAGAGCATTTCGGAGTTCTCCAACTATACACAAATGGATAAACTGGGGATACTGGCTTGGGTTTCAACAGGTAGCTAAACACAGTAGCATCAGAATTCCAACCCCAAGCATTAACGCTCAGTCTTCAGTTAACAGTCCTTCCACTGTTTTTTCTAGTACTTCTGGAGTTTATTTTGTTTTCTTCAACATGTTCAGGAAGTTGCTTAGTGCTGAACTAGGACTCAGAGCCCTGCTCAGTCTTCCATAAGGGAAGTGCTCTGAGCTGAATCAGGGATATAAAGACCATCAGGGAACAGGGTCTGTCCAAACACTCAACTCTCTTCAAAGGCTTTCTGAGTCCTGGGGCAGCAAGTTGATGGGCACCTAGCATCTCTCCTCCATGGTTCTGGTCTTGCTCTATCTTGGTCCTGCCCGGGTAACTGTGCAGACTCCTCCTCCTGTATTAAATCTCCATCTCATTAATTGGCAAGCACCTCTTGGCTCAGTCGTCTGCTGAAAGCTCAAGAGGCTCCATCCAGATGCCGTGTGATGATGAATATGAGCATAAGCACTAGCCCTGGAATCAGGCTCCATGGATTGGATTTGCTAACTAGCTGTGACATGTAATGATTTTATATTTAAAATCAAATCTGTGTTAACAAGTGTGAACTGTAGTTAAGGCTATGAATGTTGAAGAGCTTAGAAGTAAAGTATTCCAATATCTGCAACTTATAAAAAAAAGAACATGGATTGGTGAGTGGCTAGAAGTGGTTAGAAGTATGAAGGGATGGACGGATGTGTGATAAAGCAAATCTAGCAAAATATCCATTATAGCAGCCAGATAGGGGATGTGCAGATGTTCCTTGTATAATTCTTTCAACTTTTCTGTATGTTTGAAAGTTCTCATGATAAAATTTTACGAAAAAATCCTGAACCGATCAACTGATTTAATTAAAAATACATACATACATACACGAATAAATAAATAATCTTCTCTATTTACTCCCTTCCTAAAAACCCTTGCACGATCCCAGTCACCTTTGGGGTGAATTCCATGCTCCTGACCAAGCCCTTCTCAGGCAGAGTTCTCACTACCTCTTCTGCTTCACCTCTTCTTACTTCCTGCCTCTCAATGCATCCATCCGCAGCCTGCAGCCTACAGTGTTTCATACCTGCATTCCTTTGCTCTTGCTGGGTCCTCCAGCTGGGATGTGCTTCTCTCGCTTTTGCTCCCTCTGCCTGGCCAACTGGTACTCATTCCTTAAAAGCCAACTCTGGCCTGAGGCTTTTGCATTTGGCATTTTGAGTATCAAAAGTTAACTCGAGGGATCCCGTTTAACTCAGTTCATCATTTCATCCATTTGCCATCCCAGCCTGTCATCCAAACTGATAGCCAGTTCTTCAGACTTCCTGTCACCAGGAAATACAATAAACAGACATCTTCTGTTTTTAATCAATTCATTGATAACAATGGTATGAGCAGGCAAGGCTGCTGCTGGAGCCCTGCCATACGGATTCATAACCATCTTCCTGCCTGTCTGCAATTCTTCATCCACCCCCATTGGGTGAGAATTATGCAGCCTGCAGGGAGGCCCACAGATGACTGCAGACATCTAGCCCACCTTTACCACCTTTCCTGAAAACATAACAACCTATGCCAAATATCTAAAGGAAATACTAATTCAAGAATTAACTAATTGCTTTTTTTTTTTCCAATTAGCTGATCTTTATTTATTGACTAGTTAGAATCAAGGTAGACAATCTGCCATCTTCTCTGATCCAAAAAGAAAAAATGAGGTCAAGTTAGCAGAATATTAAAAAAATAAAATAAGATAAAACCCATTTGGCCCCTGCTAGTCACAGCCTCATTTTCCAGGGTCTGACTCACCTTACCCTATGGGCAGCTGTCTTGTGCCTCCTCAGCCTTCTCCACTCTGCTCTGTCGCAGGAGGCTGACCTACATGGTATATCAGCAGCTCCCTTGAGTCCTGGTGTCCACTGGGTTTGGGCAATGGGAGGCACTGGCAGGAAAAGAGTGAGGGCCGGGTTTTACCCACTGGTCTCCTGTATGCCAGGGCGCTGGGGTTTCCCTGTCTCCTTCTTCTGAAGCCCCTTGCTTCTGTGAGATGGCAGTCCCTTTCAGCTCTCACACTCTGGCTTTTGAAAACTGCTCTCATAGGATTTGAGGTTGTAACAGCTTCCTCATGTCAGTAATCCTGGAGTGCTTTCCTACCCTAGTTGGTTTCCCTATAACCAGCCGCACCTCCTCTATTTACATCTAAGATAAATGCTCCTCCTTTAAAGTCTCCTTAAATTATCCAATTGGAGTGGGACATGCCAGCCTGCTGAGGGTCTGACCCCTGTACCATCTGTTTTTAGAACCAGGCTGAAATTACTCTCTTAAGACTGGGATATCTCTGAGAGATGATCCTTGGGAGATGTGTGTTGTTTCTGCAAAAGTGAGACAGTGCTCAGCAGGGAAGCGTCATCTCTATGCTCCAAGCCTGAGAGTTCAAGAACCTCTCTATCTTGCTTGATGATTCAGAACCTGGATGTGATGACAGCAGATATCCACGCACATTGCACATACATTCATTTGACAGATAATTCGAGACCTCCTATGTGTCTGGCAGTATGTGAGTCAACATGCGGGCAGTTCATATGAATCCAGTGTGGTCAGTGGCCCTAGAAGAACTCACAGTCTAGTAGGGTAGTCACAAATTTAAAAATGGAAGCCTAAGGCAATATGCTGTATGCACAAAGAGAAATAAAATCGAGGGTCTTGGGAACATAGAAAAGAGTTTAACTCACCAGGGACAGGTTGGAATGAAAGGGGAAGCCTAAAAGAGTTATGGGACATTTGACTTGGGTTTTGAGGGTTGAATAGGGGTTTTACAAGGAGGCGTATGCCAAGCAGAGGGAATGACATGTACAAACAGATATGATCCCCCCAAAGTCCCAGCCATTGGTACAGGGATAGACACAAGGTCTGACTTGGACCGGTAAAAAGTCAATCCCAGGGCTTGTGCAGAAGCTAAATAAAGAGAGTCTCTTTTCTCCTGAATGTTATGGGGTGAATATGTGAGGTCTAGAACTTCTCTGCTGCCATTAAGGAAGATATGAGTTACCAAGGGTTTGCTATGTGGTGTCTGACACAGCAGAAGACAAAGTGGAGAGACACAAAGAAACTGGGCCCTCTGTGCCATTGTTTGAACGGCTGGATCAAACCTTACTTGAAGCCCATATGTATCTTGACTTCTCAGTTACATGAGCCAACATATCTTTTTTACTGTTTACTGTTATTCACTATTAAAATACAGTAGTCCTCTCCATACATAGTTTCACTTTCCACATCATTGTTAGTCTCTCTCTGTGCGTAATTTATAAGTTAAAATGTATCATAAGTTTGTATGTAAAGGAAAAAAACATAGTGTTTGAAGGGTTTAGTATTATCTTCAGTTTCACTGGGGTCTTGAAACATATGCCCTGCAGATAAGGGGGGACTACTCTATTCTAAACTAATAGCAGACAGGCTGAATTCTTCCTGGGATACGAAGGGGACATGGAGTAAATATCACTCTAGGCACAGGGAGTGGCGAGTCTGAAGTGAATATAAGATATGAAAAATACATGTTTTGTAAAAGGAGGCATGAGAGTTTGATGAGATCAGAGGCATGGATAAAAGAAGGAACAAACAAGAAAGAAAAATAGACTTGAGCCGAGTTCTGAAAGGTCTTTCTATGTTCTAGGTGGCAAGTAGACATTTTTCCCTTGGCAATAGGGAGCCACAGAAAGTTTTCCACAGGAGAGTAGCGTGAACAGTTTTACATATCAACAAACAGGCACCTGGACTTGGGTGATGCTTTGGCAGATGGTTTGGCAGACTTCTTCCTCCTACCATGTTTTCCTTCCTTCACTGAGCCAGATAACTACCTAGCTCACAAGAAAAAGGCTATTAAAAATGTATTTTGGCTGGCACATTGGCGCAGGCCTGTAATCCCAGCACTTTGGGAGGCTGAGGCGGGTGGATCGCCTGAGGTCAGGAGTTCGAGACCAGCCTGGCCAACATGGTGTAACCCCGTGTCTACTAAAAATTACAAAAATTAGCCAGGCATGGTAGTGGACACCTGTAATCACAGCTACTTGGGAGGCTGAGGTAGGAGAATCACTTGAACCCAGGAGGTGGAGGTTGCAGTGAACCAAGACAGCACCACTGCACTCCATCCTGGACACCAGAGCAAGACTCTGCCCTGCCCCCGGGCACAAAAAATATATATATATTATTGATTAAACTTGGTCTACAAAACCTGCTCCAAGGAGCAACATCTTCCCAGCCAAGCATTTGCCTACTAGGTACCAAGCCTGACTCCTTTCTCAGGGACAGTTTGAGGTGACACCTGGGTATAAGGAGGCTGCCTTCTCATCTGGGAGCTCAAGAGAGGGAAGGGATGCCCAGTGGAGCGCCGTTCCCAAGATTGCTTTTCCGATTCAGTGGAGTAAGGTGGTTTCCCGTTCTAAATATTTAACATGATGCTGTCGGTGTGTCCTCTAGGGGACGAGAACTTACAAGCTGATGTTTATGAAGGGAGAGGCGATGAAGACCAAAAGACACACATTCAAACAAATCTAACCAAACAACTTTAATCCACCCCCCACTCGCAGAACCGGAGGAGCGCTCATGATTTATGGCTTTGCTTGCAAGAGAGAGAGAGGATTTTTAAAAAAAAGCTCTTCACTTTGCTAAGAGGGGCTGCATCCAAAAGCAGCAGCTTTGCTTGTACTCCCTTTGAAACCAGAAACCCCACTCCTTTTGCCCTGCCTGAGCAGAGCCAGAAAGAATGCTCTATATACACTTTTAACCTTCCTCCCCTCCCCAAGAAAGGGCTCTGGAAGTTCTCTTAGTAGATTTGCCTCATGGGGAGAAGGGAGACCCCTGCTACAATAGGCAAAGGGCTAGAGTTCGGTATTTGCATTTAGGAAGTCTGGGAGGTGTCTGCGCGTGTGTGCAAGGGCATGCTTGAATTTCAAGGTCAAATGGCAATTTTTGAACACCGAGTGCTGTGCTGGGATTTGTGACTCTTCATTAACCTTTCTTCTCTGGCACATTTTCTGGGGACAAGTTCCCTGAGAGTCAGGAAGAGAAACTAAAGTCACTAACTAGTAGCAGAAGCAAGTTAAAGGATAAGGTAGGGTCTGAGCTGGGCAAGGAGTCCCGTTAGAGAAGAGATGGGACTCAGGAAGCTGATGTACAGAACGAAGAATTACAGCGATGGACTTTGAGACAGAACAGTCTTGAGGAGTTGTTAGCAGAAGTGGCATTCAAAATATTAACAACCAATGTGGCACAGACGGAGGGCTTTCAGAGTAGATGTCAGCTGTAAACAACCAGTAAAACTGCACCAGTGCATACCAACTAGGACCAGTACCAGATACTAAACAGTATTTAGTATTTAGTATTACTAAATACTATAGTTATATATATAAGTACATAGTATTTACTATTTAGTATTTACATAGTATTACTAAATAGTAAATATGTATTTCCTAAAAGAACTATAACAGTAGTATTTTGACTTGATGTGAATTCAGAATCATGTCATAGCATAGCAGCATGGTTGCAGAAAAAAAAATTACTTATGAACTACTAGATGAGGAAACTTTCTAGCACAGAAGAAGTTCCCAAAGTGATTCCACAGAGGAAAAGCTCAACTGCCTGTCAATGTGGCTTTTTGATCAAATGAGTCTGGAGAGCCATGGGTTCAACGAAGAGTGACTTTTCTTTCCTGACTGCAGGACTTCTCAGAGCCTTGAACATGAACATGGGTGTTATGAATATATCTGGGTAGGGTGAGGGGAGGCAGTTAAGAGCACATGACAGGCCGGGCACAGTGGCTCAAGCCTGTGATCCCAGAACTTTGGGAGTTTGAGGCGGGGGAATCACCTGAGGTCAGAAGTTCGAGACCAGCCTGGCCAACATGGTGAAACCCTGTCTCTACTAAAAATACAAAACTTAGCCGGGTATGGTGGCACGTGCACGTAGTCCCATCTACTAGAGAGGCTGAGGCACAGAATCGCTTGAACCCGGGAGGCAGAGGTTGCAGTGAGCCACCCAGATCACACCACGGCATTTAAAAAAAAAAAAAATAGCAAATGACATTGCTCAAGCTTATTTGAATGCAGAATTCTTTTCTTAAGGACCAGCTTCTGGGGGTTGTAGTGCTTAGGCAACACTTCGGGAAATGGGGCACTAAAAATTGCTCCTATTTGTCTAGAAATAATTCACTGTCAGTGGAGGTGATAAACTGAGAGAAGATGCGGCTGCTGGGACCTTCTCACAGGGAATCTACATTAGGGGCTGGGTCTTAGACCAGGTGAATTCGAGAGCCCATTTCCATTCTGGGATTCTGAGAGTCTGGGACCCAACAGGACACACCAAGAAAGCCAGACCTTACAAGCTTATGACCATGGCATTGTTATCCAAAAAAGAAATTTATTTTCCTTCACGATGTGCATTGCTCTCTTTTAGATGCTATTCACAGTTATCAATATTATTATTAGCAGCAGTTAATATTTACAAAGTGCTTAGCACATGCTAGGCACCTGCCATGGTGTACACACTTTACCTCATTTAATGCCTTCAGCAAAGCAATGAAGCGAGTTACTATCTTCATTTTACACAAAAGGCTCAGAGAAGTTATGTTGCTTGAGCAGTGTCACACAATTAGCAAGCAGCAGAGCTGAGAAGCAAATCCACTTCTGATTCTAGGGTCTGAGGTTGGCCATGGAATGAAATCTGGAATCAGAAAAAAATCCTGATTTACAACTATGACCTTACCATTGACTTGCTGTGTGGCATTGAACGAATTACTTAACTTCTCTGAACCTCAGTTTTCTTTGCCATAAAGTAGAACCCATCAAACAAACTGTGCTCTTGGGTTGCATCAAAAGAGGTATAAGTGAGTAGAATAGGGGTATACAGTTACTCATTCATTCAGTTACTTATCCTTCCGTGATTTCAACACTCCTTGAATGCTTAATTTGTTATTATTTCCAGAAATCTCAGATACATATGAAGTACCGCATGTCTCATTACGTGATGAGAGAGGTTTTTTCTAATCTGGGAGTTCAGACCAATCCCTGACTTCACAAAAAACTCACTGTATGAAAAATCACTTTCAGTGCCTCAGTTTCCTTATCTCTAAAATCAAGGATTAAATTTACTTGCCTTCCAACTCTAGCTCTAAAGCAGTGGTTTCCAAAGTGTGTGCAATGGATCACTCACTTCAAAATCACCTGAAATGTTTATTAAATGAATATTTCTGGACCTCACCCAAGACCTACTCAATTTTAATGTCTGAGATGGAAATGTGCATTTTTAATAATAAGGTCTCTGGTTAATTTGTATGCCCACAATTTGAGAGAATTGTTCTAAACGATTCAAGGACAACATTTCTCAAAGTGTCTTCATGAAAAACGATTTCTTTACTCTCCAAAGTTGGGGTTCATGGACAAAACAAGTCGGGAAGGGTTAATAAGATCTAAAGCTTTTTTGAAGATTTGCAATGTACATTAGCATACCAAAGGCTCTGAAAAGTCCTAAAGTAGAAAAATCTATTGAAGAAAATGTAACCAAGTATTTCCCAAGTATATCCCATATTTGATGATCAATTTTTTTTCTGCATACTAACCCCCTACCTCGCCCAGTCACCTATCAGGAGTGCCAGAAAATTAATGTTCTACAGAGCACATTTTTAGAAAAACAAATCTAGGTGATTGACATAAATTATATCTGTGGACACTCAGAGTTGGAGCTCATAAATAGCATTTGGTTGCCCAATAATGGAAATGTAAAATAAATGGATTCTAGCTTGAAAGGTGTGTTGCAGAGTTAATAGGAACCTACTCACCTCTATTGGAAGCTCTCCTCAGGAGCACTTAGGAACTCCCTAAAATAGAATACTTAATCCTTTACTCCTGACTCAGGCAAGGGGAAAGCAATGGCCTGGGTGATTCAGCCTTTTCCTCCCTGTTGAAACTGTTGACTTTGCCATATAACCTCTTTGATGGTGCTGAAGTCAGAACTTTGCTCATCTTCCAGGCACCCAGTTTAAAAGAGCTGAGATTAGCTCAATGACTCACGAGTTTTCCCTGTCACTTGCATGTGTTATTCCAGAACAGAACCCAGGCTGGCACCGCCATGTGTGAAATTCCTCGGTGCTGCTCAGGCCCAGCCCTCAGGCTGCTGGTTAGATGGCCCAGTCAACGTAACCTTCTCATGCCAATCCCAAAGCTTGCAGCCAATTGCCAAGGTGGACACTGGCTGACCTGAGTCAGGATGATGCAACTCTAGCTTCCTCATTCTCCCCATGCCCTCCTTCTTTGTAAATTCTGGTCAATTTCCAGAACTCAGAGCTAATGGGGGACCTGACTCGGCCACAAGAGTTTCAGGCAGCACCTAGTCCCTGAGCCCTATGACATGCCAGACAGCCCATGGAAAGTAAGAGGGAGAATCTTCCTCTTACTATTTCAGAATTTCTCAGCTGTTGCCTCAAAGTTAAATGCAGATGATCAATGAGTGGAAAATTGGCTTGGAAAGAGCAAATTGGATCTTGTGACATCGTGAGATTATTTTATAGGACACATGTAGCAGGTCAAAAGTTGGAGACCAGATAGACATTCTTCATTTTCCTTTCCAGTTCATTGATCCATCTGTTCAAGCTAGAATGCAGCCTCCCACTAGAATACGGGTTCCATGGAAGCATATCACTTTTCTGTTTTGTTCACCACTGTATTCCCAGGGCCTAAGTTAGTGTCTGGTATAAAGCAGATGCTCAACAAACAAATGCTTGTTGAATGAGTTCAACCAACGATTTGGTAGATTGAAGGTGGTCATAAATTGTTTGGACACTCTTAGGTTAACAGGTGATGTGTTTATGACTTCTTAAATCTGAGCTCTGTGACGGATCAATAGAATACAGTAGTTGAACTTTATACATGGTGTCTCATAGCACCAGAAAACCCAGGGGAAAAAAAGCAGTAAGGTTTCTTATGACCTAGCTTTGGAAGTTCCAGCCATTAGTTCCACCATATTCTGTTGGTCAAGTGAGTTGTTAAGGCCAGTCCAGATTCAGGGGGGAGGGTGTTTAGTCTCTGCTTCTCAACAATGCATGTAGCATGAGCTCCATTCCCCAAGGATTTAGCTATCTCCTCAACAGGAAGAGAAGCAAAGAATTTGTGACCATTTTTAATCTACCACACCTACCTTTCAGCATTGTTGAGAGGACTAAATAGGATGATTTATACCTGGTGTTTTTCTGCACGTTAGGAAAGACGTCCCTTCCTCTGGGTTAATACAGCTATTTGGCAAGCAGTGATTGGCCCGGGATTTAGCACCTCTGTGCCTCCTTAGCAAGCTGGTCTTGGGCAGGATGCAATCTGCAAAACTGTACAGAGCAATGCTGCCTAACACATAGAAAACCCAGCAGATGATATATATTGCTAAAATTAGCTGACACTGTCACTGCAAAGGGCATCAGCTGTTTTGGCCAACCTAATATCTATTTCTTTTCTTTCTGGTCTTAGCATGCTCATTTCCCTTTTTGAAACTTGTTCCCACCCACTGTTGTTACATGCAGTCTGCGTGGGACAGTCACTCAAACCCTGACTGCCTAGAGCTAAGAGGCTGTCATGTGATTCAGGTTGATCACATTACTTACTGCTACTTAGATCCCAAGTCCAACCAGCTCCCTGACCCCTCTGACGTCTGGTTCTTCTATTTTGTGAGCTACTTCTTCCAATTCTTCCAATACTAGCGTTTTGGGCTTATGTTAGCCAGAATAGGTTTCTGTTGCTTACAATCAAATAACCTATAAAGATAGCTATTCTGGCGCCTTGATCATACAGGTTTATTTCTTTTCCTGGATACACCCACACCTTGGTCACTGGGCTCTTTCTCATCACCTCTTAGTCCTAGCAGTTGGTAAAATGTCATCTCTAATATTTGGTTGGTATTTTCTCTTCTGGGTCAAACCATGAGCAAGTGGCTCAGTGCAATAAAAATCATGCATTAAGGTTGAAGTTGGTCAGTTCAAACATGTTCTAAATTCAAGCTGTGTGACCTTGGTCGAGTTAGCTAACATCTAAGTCTCTATTTATGTATTTTCAAAATAAGGATAATGCCTGTTGTTTACATAGGAAGGAGGTCAGTACCTGCTGGTTCCCTTCCACCTATCATGAGTGTCTGTTTGCTCAGCTCAGAGCTAGGCACTGGGAGGGATACAGAACTACGTGAGGCATAAAGCCTATGCTCATGGAATTTGGGGTTAGGGCATGCAGACTAAGCCACACAAAGAGACTAACAACTATAATGTGGCAGGTGGGCCTTGTGAACAGAAAGCTATGCCAGGATGTATCCCATAATAAAAACCTTCCTTCTGTGGCCAGCTCAGCACTGAATGCTTTATTCACACACTTCATTCTTACCGTAACCCTGTAAGGTAGATATGCTGGTTGTTCACACTCTACAGATATGGAAAGCGTGGTTCCAAGTCATACAGTCAGGATTTGAACTCAGAACATCTGAGTCCAAATTCATGTGTTTAACTAGCATGGTATGCAGCCTCTTGACTGTACCCAAATCCCTACCTGTGGGTCTGCTTTGTGGAAGAACCCAAACTAAGACCAGAAGGCACTGGGAGGTTTTACGGCAGGGACCCAGCATGATGATGAAAAGCACTCAATGATGATAAGATCAGAGGCTTAGAAGGGCCACTTCAGGCTGGGAGTGGTGGCTCACGCCTGTAATTCCAGCACTTTGGGAGGCCGAGGCAGGCAGATCACTTGAGGTCAGGAGTTTGAGACCAGCCTGGCCAACATGGCAAAAGCCCGTCACTACTAAAGATACAAAAATTAGCCAGGCGTGGTGGCGATCACCTGTAATCCCAGCTTCTCGGGAGGCTGAGGCAGGAGAATTGCTTGAACCCAGGAGGCAGATGTTGCAGTGAGCCAAGATTAGGCCACTGCACTCCAGCCTAGGCAACAGAGTGAGACTCTGTCTCAAACAACAACAAAAAAAGGAAGGTCACTTCAAGGATGGCTGGCACAGAAGACAGATTACAGGGAGGACAGTGTGGAGTGAGTGATGGGCACCATGCAGGAGGCTGCTGGGGACACCTCGCAAACCAGAGCCAGTGCAGTGAAAGCGAATAGAGTGAAAGATACTATGACTGCCAGAGTGCCTGTCCCCCAGACAGAACAATAGAAGAACATTCTTCCGGCCCTGACTCAGGCTGGCCTATCTCTCAGCTCCCTGGAGCCACAGTAAATCTCAAACCTATAGAGCTTTTCCAAGCCCCCGAGTCCAGAGTCTGGGAGTGCTAATCCCTTCAAAAGAGTGCTCAGAAGTGGAG
This sequence comes from Homo sapiens, assembly GCF_000001405.40. Taxonomy (NCBI): domain Eukaryota; kingdom Metazoa; phylum Chordata; class Mammalia; order Primates; family Hominidae; genus Homo; species Homo sapiens. The sequence continues at coordinate 115,224,123 of NC_000012.12, read as the reverse complement.
GGTGGAGCCAAAGGTGCTTTCACAAGGCTAGAAAAAAAAAAAGAATTAAATTAGATTGAACACATACATGCACATACAATACACCCTCAGCTATGCCCATGGGGGAAAACACAGCTATTACTATTTACTCCAAAAATCTGGAATGATTTGTGGGTTGAAGAAGGAGACAGTTTATTTATGGTGTGGGGTAGGAGGAACTTTCAGCTTCTGACTCTCCCCAGTAAGTAATGACCAGCCTGAGGTGAGGTTTTTCTCCCAGCCTTGGAATCACTTCTAACAAACAAGGATATTTGAAGGGAGGCAAACTTCATGGGCACAAGAGAAAAGGGAAATAAATAAATTAAATAAATAAATAAATCAGGAGAAAGAGTGAGGGGAAGCAGTGGAGGCTGATTTTTGTGCTATATTTTGAAGTCTTAGAACTGGAAGCAGTCATAACTTTTCTGGTGCGAGAGGTGGGCAGAATAAATGCTGCTCGTCACTGCAGGGCTTTGCAGCTCAGATGGTATCCATTGGCACCCAGGAAGTACCCTCCTCACCCCCTGGCTTCCCCCAGCTTCCTCCAGGCCACCCTGTATTTCAAGAGCAAGAGACTCATTGCCATACTTGGCCAGTGGCCCAGAAATACTTTTAGTGAAGTCATTGCCCACTTCTCGCTTTCTCCATGATGTTTTTTAAGCCTTTGCGGCTATGCATATCCAGGCATCTTCAAAGGGATGCCCTGGGTGGGATTAACCTCTGCTGCTGGCCAGCTGCATGGCTTGGGGGTCTGAATTCAACCTATCTGAATCTCAGGAGCTGCATCTAGGCAACTAGGATGAAAAGCAACATCTAGGTGTTGGAAAGATGCAGCCGACTAGCTGGTGGCTGGGAAAGGGGCTGGTATGCACTAAGCACCTAAGGCACGCAATTAACTTTCTTACCCAGACAAAGAAACTTCAGGGCAGCCTGACTTTCCCCCTACTTATTTGCTTGTCCAAACATTACGTGGTCCTCCCAAAGCAATGAGTCTTAATCAACTGGGAAACTTTTGTACAAAACATTGATGTCCAGGCCACCCTCCACCCACCGTCTGCTGACTCTGGTTCTGGTGATATGGAGACAGGCATGGCCACTACTGGAATTTCTTCAAAGCTTCCCATATGATGCTAATACACAGCCAGCATTGAGAACCACTATCTTAAGAGTTCATCTAGCCTAGAAGTTGCCCATCCTGGCTGTTAGCGCCACTTGGGGACAGGTTCTTTTCCCCCACTCTCCCTGTACTGAACCAGCATCCCTAGAGGAGGTACCTCGGATTCTGTACCTTAAGACATTCTGTGAGTCATTCTAAGTTCAACTGAGATGTACCTTCTTCTGGGAAGGTTTCCCCAGCGCTCCAAGTTCAGGCTGAGGAACCCTTTCCTATGCTCCCATATCCTCCCTGCCTGGCCCCCAATTATAGCTCATCACTACCCTGCATTGTCACCTTCATCTGTTTGCCCACATTTTATTATGTCAGCAATGTTCAACATTATGTCCTCGGCCCCTAGCCCTGTGCCCCACACAGTAGGTCCTCAGTGAGTATGCTTGGAGTGAATCAATGGATGGAAAGCCTTTATTTCTCTACCCCTACCTCTCACATTGCATCCCAGCAGTTCCCACCTATTCCAGATGGACTTCTAAGCTTTTGTAAATGCAGTGCCCTCTGCCTGTGGTCACTTGGAGGTGATGCTCCCAGGATTGGCTAACGATGATCATGTCAGGGTGATGGAATGCAGAAAGGAGCATCTAACTGCACCAGAGAAGGCCTCGAGCCACCCACAATTCACACGCACCGTGGAAATTGATCTGAGAGCCATCCTGCTCCTACCCTCTGCCCTCGACTTATGATTTATAATTAGTGATATGCTCTCAGATAATGAGCTTGGGCTTGGGAGTTGGAGAGCCTTGAGTTAAAATCCTATCATTTACTAGCTGTGTGATCTTGGACAAATCACTTAACCTCTCTGAGCTTCAGTCTGTGCTTCTTCAACGCGGAGGTGACTGTTCAAATTGCAGGGTTGCAGTTAGGATTGCTTGAGGGAATAGCAAAATTTTTACGTGTTCATACTCTGCTTTAGGAGCCAGTACTCTACTTTTCAGTGAAAAGTAGAAGAAATCTGGTAAGGAGGGTGTTATAATAATCAGCATTTTGCAGAAGTAACTGGAAGTTCAGAAAGGTTGAGTCACTCGTTTGAGATCATCAGCCAGGTATTAGTGGAGCCAACCCTACCCTGCCTCCCAAGTATTTGCAGAATGCCCCTCCCCAACACCTGGGACATAGTAAGTGCTCAATAAACACTTACTCCCCTCTGCTCCTCCTTGGTTCCCTCACCCATAACTAGCACCACATAGAGGAAGAGAGACTTCTAAGGGCAAATCAAATGTCTCAAGTGCTGATAACTAAGCTTTTAGGATCCCCTTATCCCAAGATGAGAGGTTTGTTCTCCACCTCAGAACTTACCCTAAACCTCATTGTATCTGCATTTGAGAGCCTAAGTGGGGCCAGGAAAGATCCAGATGAGTTTTGCTGGTCAAGCAGAGACCGGCTAATGGAGAAGGGGTTGTTTCCTCCCCTCCCTCCTTGCCTCGGTCGATTTGCATTGATCCCAGTTCGGCTGAGTGAGAGCCGTCGTTCAAAGTTTATTCTGGTGTCAATTTTTATAGTTCCCCCCCACAGATCAATACCGCGCAAAAAACATTAAGGCAAACTTTGTGAAAGCCGATCGTTCAATATGAGTTTTATGAATGGCTCCCAGCCCCAGCTCTAAGCATTTGGAAGTAAGTGGTACCTTTAATGAGATGAGTGATAGAAGCCAGTCAATAAGGGCTGCTTTTTCAGCCCTTGGAGGAAGGAGGGCTGTACCTCTGACTCCCCTTATCAAGCTCATTTCTTTTCCACAGTTGGAGAAGTGGTCAGGAGCCCAACCCTAATGATAAATAAACCAATTTTTAACTATGGAACAAAGATAAGAACAGGCATTTCACAGCAAAAGGAAATCCAAATGGCCAATAAGTGTAAGTAAAGATATCCATCCTTGTTGATAGTCAAAGAAGTGCCAGTTATAACCAAAAGGAGAGATTATTTTTCCCATAGCCCTCGGCTTGGCAGAAATTGAAAAAACGGGCTTTGCTGAGCAACGGAGAGCCGGTCTCAGACTCTGCTACTGTCAGAGTAAGTTGATGTGAACCCAACTTGAGATGCAACTTAGAACTGTCATGTAAAGCTAAGGCATGCATATCCCACCATCCAACAAACATGCTTGTAGGTAGGTAGGCACTAGATCCTCAGATACATGGCCCAGTAGACATACATAGTGATGTTCACTGCAGCATTGTTAGACGAAGGGAACTGGGTAAACAACCTTGAGGTCCATGACGAAGGGAGTGATTAAATCCACTATCATGACATCAGATAATGAAATACTGTACAACAGTGAGACAACAGTGCTATCTGCATCAACACAGATCCCTGGAGAACAAAATAATGAGTGAAAAAGTTGTTGTTGAGAAATACACACATATAGTTGTTGATAAAGGACATTATATATATATGTGTGTATATATATACATCATGTCCTTTTTATATATGTATATAATGATACATATATAAAAAGTTTAAAAACACACAGCAATGCTATGCATTGCTAATAAATAAATGTGAGATAAAGGAATGAAAACTTATGGAAAAATAATTGCAAATATTGGGGTGGTGTTTATGTTCTACTTGGAGAGAGGGAAATGGGGGAAGAAAGGGATACACAATAAGCTTCTATTATTTTAGTAATGACGTAGTTCTTAAAACAAACAACAAGAATCACACTAAAGCAAATATGATAAAATGGAAGTTCCATGAAGCCAGCACCATCTGTTTTGTTCACTATATCCTCAAGGCCTAGAACAAAGCCTAGCACATAGAAGGTGCTTAATAACTATTTGCCAAACAAATGAAAGATAAATGTAATGAATCTGGGTTTGGAATACATGGTGCCCTTACATTTTTCTCTATAATTTTATTTGCTGGCAATATTTCACTGGGGGAGTGGTAAAGAGGAGGAAAAGGAGAAGGAGAGAGCCAGACAGGCCTACCTACCTACAAGCATGGGCTTCAAATCCCAACTCTGCTAATTTAACACGGCCTACCTAATGCTGGGCCTGTTTTCCACTAATACGTTGTGGGTGCTGGGCTTTTCTTTTGTGTTTTTCTTTTGTCTGGGCCGGTGGAGAGGGGAAGGAGATGATGAACATTGCCGAAGCAAACAGATAATAATGCCACTCTGTATTTTTATGAAGCATTTGGCATGCACCATCTTATTCACCCATGATCCTAAGCCCCACACACACTGCAGGTAGTTTAGAGTCTCCTGGAAGATGCTCATTGGCCAGCCTGCTCAATCAAGTGTTGACTGACATCTGGTCACCAATCTAAGCTCATGCATTGCGGTGTCAAAGCAGCAGTTATTTCAATTTTCTTTTATTGAACACCTACAAGCACTGGGTATCACCAGCACCAGTTGTGCTGAAAACAAAGCAAGTTAGACATGTTTTCTATCCTCTGGGAGCTCAAAAACTCCAGAAAACACTAAAACAAGGCAAAGAAACTGACCTTTAAAGCAAAGGTATAAATAATGCGCAGTGTACGAAGAGAGAAAGAGAAAGCATTTCCTACTAGGGGAGGAACAGCTCCTAGAGGAGGTGTGATTTTGCCTGCAAATAAATAAAACGTGTATCCATCTCATTGGAGGCTGCTGAGTGGATGTCAACAACCTTAAGACCTCACCAGACTGTGGTCCCTTAGGATCTCCAACGGATACACCACGGCCTCTGTGTGTCTCCAAAGAGTATCAAATGTCTTCAAAAAATTAAGTGTGTCATGATGGGGCATTTCCCTAGGATATTCCAAGCAGGAAATGAGAGTTTCAGTAGGGACTATGTATAGGGAGAAGATTAGGTCTGAAAAATTCTGGGTTGGGCAAACCAAGTTGAAGAACTCCAAAATTTGTGGCCAAAGAAGAGAATGAGACAGAGGACATATCAGCTGTAACATAGCCTCTGTACATGTTCGGATGGGAGATGTATATATTATGCACAGTTATACACATGTGTACATATGGTTCCACATGTGTAGATGTACCTGGTTGTGCATGTCTGTGGCATGCTTAGGTATGCATGTGTATGTATGTGCATATGGATGTGGATATGTGTGCAAGTTTCTGTGTCAGGGTCCATGTTGGCAGACATATTTGCATTTTATACTCAACACTGCATGCAGGGACTGTGCATATATGCATTCTTATATATAACACAAATATGTATGGACCAAGTTGCATGTATGCTTGAGTGTGAATGTGTGTAAACATGCATGCATATAGGTACATATAGGCATGTATGTCTATCTGTGCAAGTGCAGATGTATGAGAGTTTTTACATACACAGACACAAGTGTGTCAACTTATATGTGTATGTGAAAAATATGTGAGCAATTTTGTATGGCTGTAAATGTGTGTGATTGGATACATGTCTGGAAATGTTTGTTTGGATAAATATATAGGTATGTGAGATGTCTTCATCTGTGTTTCTATGCCACGCTCCATGACTCTAGGTAGTGTGCTTGTGCACACATGTGCATTATGTGGGAGTATGTATTTGCTACTTGGATGTACATGTGTACCTCAAGCTGTGTTGTGTGGGCATATGTGTATCGGTGCAAATGCACTTATAGATGTATTGTGTAGGAGTATGTGTGAGTGGTATACGGACCCATAGATGTGTTTGTGTGTGTGTTTATGTAATAAAAAGTAGTGGTGAGGTTGATTTTGCACAGGGAAATGTGTGTGTGTGTGTGTGTGTGTGTGTATGATTTGCCACAGCCTGCTGATGCAGAGACAGACAGTCTGGCAATAAGGCGCCTGGAGAGCCTGACCTCAGACCCTAGAGCCACCCATGAATTGGAAACGAGAAGTTACCAATTGCACATCCAAGGCCTCGGCCCAGCTGAGTGTGGACCTTGCATTGGGTGACAGGCCCTTTCCACGAGTGGATGCACTGCACCCTCATGGGACAGGAGCTGGCTGGGGATAGCCAACTTTTTGGGTAGGGCTGGTGGGACTTCATTTGTCCCTTGCCTGATGTGGATGGGCTGTGTCCTTCCATGATGGACTCTGAGAGCAGCTGACTCAGCTTCCTAAAATGTGGCAGCATGGGCCAGGAGAGGGAAACCAACTGGGCGGGGTAGGAGTCCTCCATTTGTTGGAAGGCCATGGTGCATGGGAGAAATGGGGGATGGGGGTGGAGAATCAGATAAGCGTTCAGATTCTGGCTCTGTCACTCATAGGCTCTGTGAACATGGGAAAGATACTTTCCTGGCCTCACATGTGAACTGTAGGATGTGTCTGTTGGGCTCTTGTGAGGAGAACCAGTAAAACATCTTCAGCACAAGGCCAGCCACTCAACAAATGGAAACGACTGGAGTGTAACCTCTCATTTCACCCTCCCAATAAGCTCTGCTTGTTAGAGATGCTGAATTCCCTAAAGACATCACAGTCAGGCTTTGGATTCAGACAGAACTGGGTACCAAGTTCAGCTCCCTCACTTGTAAGCTGTGTGCCCTTGAATGAGAACCATTACCTCTCTGTGCCCATCCAGTAATGAATGGCTAAACAGATCGTATGTATCCATAACATGGAATACCACTCAGCGATAACCTGAAGCAAACACACAATCCAACTCTAACCCTAGCCCTAAGCCCTAATCACATGCATGCATCTCAAAACCATCATGCTAAGGGGGAAAGGTCAGACATGAAGGATAACATACTGTATGATTCCATTTATATGAAACTGTAGAAGAACCAAAACCATTTTGTCAGAAAGCAGATTGGTAGTTGCCGGAGGCAGGGGGTGGTGGGTCAGGAGGAACCTTTTAGGGTGAGGACACTATTTCTTTATTTCTTTTTTTTTTTTTTTTTTTTTTCTTGAGATGGAGTCTCACTCTGTCACCCAGGCTGGAGTGCAGTGGCGTGATCTCAGCTCACTGCAAGCTCTGCCTCCTGGGTTCATGCCATTCTCCTGCCTCAGCCTCCCAAGTAGCTGGAACTACAGGCACCCGCCAACATGCCCGGCTAATTTTTTGTATTTTTAGTAGAGACGGGGTTTCACCACGTTAGCCAGGATGGTCTCGATCTTCTGACCTTGTGATCCGCCCATCTCGGCCTCCCAAAGTGCTGGGATTACAGGCGTGAGCCACCGCGCCTGGCCGAGGACACTATTTCTATCTCTATTGTGGAGGTGGTGATGTTCTTGGTTACAGGATTGTGAGACAGTGCCTAAATCCATCCAGTGGCACAGTTAAAATAGATGAGTTTTACTGTATATAAATAAAACCTTAATAACTCAAAAAGAGGGAGACAGTAGCATAATATGACCCTGAGTGACTGGGGGACATTTTAGATGGGGTGGTCTTAGAAGGCATCTTTGAGGAGGCGCCATTTGGTGACAACTGCAAGAACTGAAAGAAACACTCAGGCTCAAGTAAGCCTTCCCCTCTCTGGCCTGGAGCCCAGTGGGGTTTCCCCGGCTCCAGAATGTTTCCAGGCCACATTTACCTTCCTCCTGACCCTCAGGCAAAAATCATTTCCCGAATCTCTCACCCACTGGGCACATGCTCACTTCCCATGACCAGGACCCCTCCAGTCCTGTTGTTCCCTAGTAAATATTTTAGTGCTCATGGAGACCAATGGTGCATCATCAATGGGAAATTGAATGTAAATCATCCCGGCTTTTCCGTCACCCCAGAAATCAATGTTCACACATTAGGGCTATTAGCTCATTAGGAAACCTTTGGTGGATGGCGTGGGAGCCAGCAGCCACACCTGGAGTCCTGCCTCTGTTCTTCCTGCATGGATGGAGCTGAGCAGCAGGTGGTGGAGAGGGAACACACTTTTCAGAGTGGACTCTCCCCTCAGCATCAGTAGAAGGTGGTTTTCAGTGGGCTATCCCATGCTCTTCTTCCCTAAGTCCCATGACTGCATTTGAGATTTTGATTGCTAGCAGGAGAGAAAGTCTGAGTGGGATGGTGTGTTTCTAGAGCTGGTGCTCAAATTGCCCATTTATTCATTCCACAATAATTTATTGAGTGCCTACTGTGTGTCCAGCTCAACTGGCTATCAAAAGTCAACAACACATTAACACCCTTTGGCCTGGTAACTTCTCTTCATTTATGCAAAGAAATGTGCATACAACTTTGGCTAAAAGGATGCTTTTTGCAATCGTGTTGGCAATGAACATAAATGATCTAAATATTCAATAGCACATTACTCACACTTGGGGTGGTGCTGATGTAAATAAACCTACTGCACTGCCGGTCAGATAAAAGCATAGCACATACAATTATGTACAGTGCATAATACTTCATAATAAATGGCTATGCTACTGGTTTGTGTGTTTACTATACCATCATGCACTTCCTAATGATGTTTACTGCCTAGTGATGTTTCTGTCAATGACGGACTGCATATGGGACCACAACAGTGGTCCCATAAGACTGTAATCTGTATTCTTACTGTATCTTTTCTGTATTTTGATAAGTTTAGATCCACAAATACCTACCATTGTGTTACAATTGCCTAAAGAATTCAGTACAATAACATGCTGTATGGGTTTGTAGCCTAGGAGCAATATGCTACACCATACAGCCTGGGTGTGTAGTAGTCTGTGCCATCTAGTGAAAGTACAGTCAGCCAGGCATGGTGGCTCATACCTGTAATCCCAGCACTTTGGGGGGCCAAGGTGGCCAGATTACCTGAGGTCAGCAGTTTGAGACCAGCCTGGACAACATGGTGAAACCCCGTCTCTACTAAAAATACAAAAATTAGCCAGGTGAGGTGGCACATGCCTGTGTGCCTAGCTACTCGGGAGGCTGAGGCACGAGAATCTCTTGAGCCTGGGAGGTGGAGGTTGCAGTGAGTAGAGATCACACCATTGCATTCCAGCCTGGGCAACAGAGGAAAACTCTGTCTGAAAAAAAAAAAGAAGAAAAAGAAAGAAAGTAGTCTATGATGTTCGCACAGGGATGAAATTGCCTAAGGACTCAATTCTCAGAAGGCATCCTTGTTGTTAAGTGACATATGATTGTATATTCAAACATTCACTAATTTGTAATACATATTTATGTAATATGTTCATTATGCATTCACTCATATATACTTATACCCATGAATATATATATTATATTATATATATATTCAGGTGTATATATACATATATTCATGTATATATATATGCTCAGAGAGCTCTACATGTATATTCATGTATATATATGAATATGTATAGTCATGTATATAAGTATATGAGTGAATGCATAATGTATAACTATATTTATATGTACATACATTAATGTATATATATTTATATGTATATAACTATATTTATATGTTTGCCTGATAAAAATTAACAGTAGTCACTAGTACTAACACCATTTTTGCTCTTATAAAGCTTACATTTTTAGAACAACTATTTGAATGGGAAAAGACTAGAAAAAAAATACCCAACACATTAACATTCCTTATCTCTGGGTGGTGGGTTCATGCACCAAAGTTTGTATAAATTATATATTATTGTTCATATATTAGATATTATATTACGTTAATTATATCATGTTAAATTTATTGCATTTATATTATATTGTATATAACCATATATGTATATATGTTGTGACTGTGATCTCTGGCTTTTATATACATATATATGTATGTTGCTTCTCTACTATTTCTTGTTTTTTCAATGAACAAATATTACTGATGCAAATGGAGTGAATTAAAAGTGAAAAGATAATGGCCTCCAAATGTCTGTTGGTGACAACAGACACATAAATACAATACAGACATATACACATGGAGATCAACAGATTCACACTCATTTCTGTGAAAACACAGACATGGCCCATTACATGCAAGCACACCCATGGGGACACACAGCCATGCACCGTTACAAATACAGACCTGCAGATATTCACATAAACACACAGACACACAAGCCTGCATGCTTGATTATAAACCTGCCTACCTACGTGTGGACACGAACAGGCAGGATGCCCCGAGTTCCTTTGAGTGTCAGGGCTGCGTTCCTTCCTGCCACTTCTCTCCTGTGGAAAGAGCCTGGGGATATGGCAGGAACTGGGTGTTGGTTTTCACAAAAGCCCAGGTCCACATCTGCAGACTTGTGAGGGATGCTGCCCCCACAGCCCCACGTTGGCAGGCAGAGTACAGGCAGCCAGCCTGGAAGAGTACAGATTGAAGCAGAGGTGAGGGTTGCTCCCAGCTGTCGTGGGGGGAGGGGGTTGCTGGGAAAAGAGATTCTGCCCTCTGCCCTGCAAAAGCCCCAGACGCTGGGCCCTAAAGCAGCCTCTTTGATTCTCCTTTGCCCTCAGAGTGGGCTGGGAGGCCCACAGGGAGAAGCCTGCTGAGATTTCTAGAGCTTCCTATTTGCTGAAACCCGCCTGTTCCCACAAATCCCAAAATAGAGTCCCTGGCAGAGATGTGAGCTCTGAAATGCAGAGACAGCTGCAAAGAAAAATAGTGGAAGGGAGAAAGCAGGAAAGCTGTCTGCTTTTCCCTCAAGCCTCAGAAGGATCTTGGGGCTGGCAAGGGCATCGAAAGGTCACCCTTCTAAGCACCATCCCCTTGTCTCCAAACATATTTAAAATTATGCCTAGTTAAAGAATATAAACTTGCTCAGAGAGCTCTAGAGAAAGGAAGGACATCTCCTTGGGGCAACAGGGAACATCTGCAGTTTCTCTACCCTCCCTAGATGTTCTTTCCTGAGACTAACTTAAAGTTTTCCTACTACAGCTATCTCTCATCATTCTCCCTCATGTCCTCTTGTCCTCTTGCTCTTCAAAGGACACTAACTTCACTCTTCTTTTCCAGCTAAATGAATCAAAATAGCTTTTTGATAAGTATTTGCTAAGCAGCTACTCTGGGCAAGGTGCTGTAATGGGGAGGTAGAAGAGCTAGATGTGGACTCAGTTTTCAAGGAGGCTTCACCTACATAGGAGATGACAACTATGAAAACACCAGGTCATCAGGCAACGAGAACAAGGAAGAGAAAGAAACAGAGTATTTACCATTTTCTTGTGTGCTTACTGTGTGCCAGGCACTGATCTTTCCAACTTAGAAGCATTATATCCATCTAATAAAACAATTTCATAACCATAGCAACAATTATCATTTTATCTTATAGGTTAGGAAACTGAGGCAAAAAAGTAAAAGAGACCTGTCCAGGTCACACACCTAGAAAGTAGAAAAGCCAGGACAAGACTCGTAGCAAAGGTACTGAGCCATTTTCTAGTCACATTGGTTTGGAGCAGTGACAAGCTCTCTGAACCTCAGTTTCCTCATCTTTATAATGGTAACAGTATATTAATTTAGATGAGAACCAAATGATTAGATGTTTATAAAGAATTTAGTGGAATTTGCAGGCACAGGAAATACTTAGCAATAACAAAAGTGGTGATTATTGTATCAGTTAGCTGTAGCTGCATAACGAACAATCCTAAAAGGTAGCCATTTATTATCACTCAAGAGTCCTGGAGTCAGTTGCATATTTCTGCTGGTCTTGGCTGGGCATGCTGTGTGGTTTTTCTGGTCTCATTTGAAACTCACCCACATGTCATGCAGTCAAATGACTGTTTGCCAATCTTTGATGGTCTTGGCTATAATAACTAGCTCTCTTCCATAGAGAGAAGACAAATACCTGCTGTAGACCTCAGCAGGTCAGCCCAAGCCTGTTCTTGTGGCAGTCACAGAGGTAAAAGAGAGTGCATGGAAACACCTGAGTGGTTTTTTCAAGCTTCTACTCACATCAAGTTTGCTAGTATCCAACTGGTAAAAGCAGTTCACATGGTTTAGTCCAGAGTCAGAGCAGAAGACAAAGTTGCAAGAGTATAGACACAGGGGGCTATGCAACCAAACCATCATTTAATAATAATTAACACCCAAGGCCATGCATTGTGCAGAAGGCACCTGCCGTTAATCTTACTGGTGGTGGTCACTGTTGGGGTCATTACTGATAGGTAGCAGAGAAGGTGCCATGAAACCACAGGACAGACAGAACCAAAGGAATCTTCACGCAAGAAAAATTATTTCATCGGGCCCTTGAAGGCCAAGCAAAAGTTTGAATTTAGGAAGGCAACAATTTGGAATGAGAAGCATTCCAGTTGGAAAGAACAGCTTGCTCAAAGACAATAAAATGCCATGAGATGCCCACATTTTGATGGTAATGGGGGACAGAAGAAATATGGAAGCAGAATGGCTCCAAAGGTGGAGCACAGCCATGGAGGATTAGGGTGTTTCAGGAGAGGCAAATTATGAAAAAGAAGTGAGAGAGAGGAGACTAAGGTCTGGAGAAAAGTCAGCGGATGTGAAGATCAGGTGGTCTGGGGAAACCACATCTGAGAAAGGCAGAGGGGGTGAGAGGAGCATGTGGAGGCCAACAAAATGAAACATGGAGTCCTCTTTGAAGACACTTATCAGTAAACAGGAGGAACATGCCACTGGCATTTTCATTTTGCAGGTGAAAAAACTGAGGCTTACGGGCTTAAATATCAAGCCCCAAATCCCTCTTTGAATTAAGTGGTTGAGCGCAATTCATCCATCACACCTTCCATATTGCCTCAAATTCTTCAGCTGCTTTTCTTTTAAAGGGAGGGGCTTAGAGGCCCAGAGCTACAGAGTCTCAGGTGGGAAAGATGCAGCGGGGTGCACACTGGGAGAGGGTGCGGATACAGAGCATGCTGCTGCTGACTTCGCCGTTTTGCCCTGCAGACCTTGATAAATCTACAGGCTGTCCCAGGCTTGCAGCCACTGGCCTCTGCTTAACAGGCCCCAAATGCCAAGCCCTCCTCCCTCTCAGATATTTATTGGCAAAACTTGCTCTGGGGACAGCCTTTGTCCTGCCCCTCCCCTGTCTGGGACTGTAGCCCCTGTCCTGCAGCCTCCTTCTTGGCTCTGTGTCTATTGGATTTCTTTTAAAACAGCACACAAGCCCAGAACTCTGAAGCTGAAGATCCCTGGAAATCTGGCAGGTGTTTGGGAACAGCGTGGGCCTCAGCAAGTTCTTCTTGGAGCAGTGTCTACTCCTGCCTCTACTTCTTGGTCAAGATTGCAGCTCAGAGTAGAGCCCTGGTTTCTGACATGGTCACAGATGACTGAGGGAGCTCGTCCAGCAGCCTTTGTTTATTTGAGGTTCTGTTCTGGAAGGGATTGGCTTCCTGAGCAAAGAGGTGGTGGTAACTGAGAGTATTAAGACCATAACAATGGCCAACATACGGAACAGAGCAAAGAAGGTACAACAGTAGGAAGATAATGTATGCACAATATCTGGCATGCAGTAGGCAATGAGTAAGTGTTTGCTGGTTGAATGAACAAAGGAAGGAGAGATTAAAGGAAAAAGGAAGGAAGAGAAGAAAGGAAGGAAAATATGAGGGAAGGAAGAACAGAGGAAGGGAGAGAGAGAAATGCTCTGACTGTAGATCAGGATACCTGGGTTTGTATCTGTATTAGTCCATTCTCACACTGCTAATAAAGACATACCTGAGACTGGGTAATTTACAAAGGAAAGAGGTTTAATTGACTCACAGTTCTGCATAGCTGGGGAGGTCTCAGGAAACTTACAATCATAGCGGAAGGGGAAGCAGAACATCCTTCTTCACATGGCGGCAGCAAGTAGAAGTGCCGAGCAAAAGCGGGGAAGCCCCTTATAAAACCAATAGATCTCGTGAGAGCTCACTATCATGAGAACAGCATGATGGTAGCCACCCCCATGATTAAATTACCTTCCTCTGGGTTCCTCCTATGACATGTGCTATTATGGGAACGACAATTCAAGATGAGACTTGGGTGTGGACACAGCCAAACTATATCAGTATCCCAGTTTTCTTACCCAGTAGGTATGTTTGTTGAACCTCAGAGTCTAATAATTACTTTCAGAATCTGATAAATGGGGTTAAGAAAACATAGCCCTTAAAGATTCAGGAGTACTTAATAAATAGGAAAGTCTTAAAAATAATTAATCACCATATACTAGCAAAGTATAGGCTCTGGATCCTGACTGCCTTGAATTGAATCTTGGATCTGCCATGTATTAGCTGCGTGACTTTGAGCTAGTTGAATAACCTCTCTGTGCCTCAATCTTTTCATCTGTAAAATGGAAATAATAAGCATGTCTTTCTCCTAGGGTTGCCGTGGAGGTTATCTAATACTTGTGTAGTGTTTAGAATAGAGGCTGGCACAAAGTCAGGGCTTAACAAATGTTAGCTATGTTATTATCAGAAAGGGGAAGTCACTTGTTCAAAGCCACACAGAAGTAACTGGCAGAGGCAACCCAAGTCTGTCTGATCCCTAAAGCCCCACTTTTAAGCACAGGTGATGCAACAGAGATAGAAAGAGTCCCTTCCTTTGTCCGCCTTCTTTTGCTCTCTTGTTAACTCCAGGCACGGGTGCCTCAATATGCTATGTCCCTGGTCAGGGCTGGGAAGCTTGCCGTCGCTCTGTTCCCAGCCAAGGCATGCTCTCTCTTCAGTTTCCATTCTTGAAATGGGCCAGAGCCTCTACATAGGGAAGAAAGAAGGTCTGCAGGCAGGCTTGGCCACCCAGCTACGCACAGCTCTGTGGGATTCCTTTCTTTCTGCTTTCCTCTGCATGTCAGCATGACAGAGACCAGCCCAGGCCTGGTGTGCCTGGACACTGTCTGTCCCAGTCTTGCCCAGAACGCCCCACAGGGCAGTCCTCCAATGCTGGAGGCAGACACCACAAGCAATAAACGAATGGGCTGACCACCGCTGGGCAGCTGAGAATAATAATAACAGTAACGAATTGCATTGTTTACTGCGCGTTAGGAACAGGGCTGCACTCTTTACAAATAGGACCCTGTTTAATCTTCACTTCATCCCAGTGCAGCCTTTCTTATTAGTTTCCTTTTTACAGATAAGGAAACTGAGGCTCACAGAGGTCAAACTCTTTGTCCCAAATCACACAGTTTTAAGGAGAAGAGCCAGGATTCAAAGGCAATTCTGTTTGGTTCCGAAGTCTGGTTGTTATTCTCTATGGTACAAAGCCTTACCTGTTTGGCTGCCATGAATACTTTTTTCTTCCTGTTTTATGCAATTGGTCCAATACCAAAGGCCAGCTGAGAAATTAGTGATTCCTCATCACAGCCAGTGACAGAGCACCTAGGCCATCTGGCCCTGCCTCTCCCTCACCCTGGTGTGTAAGGCTCAATATGATGAATGCAAATACATGCAAATCATATGCAGAGCTGTCTGTCCCATTTTCTGAATTCCAAAGGGGCCCTCCAGAAAACTCTAGATCAGTATTTCCTAAATTTTAGGTATTTAAATACCATTTATCAATTCATAAAATCTGCATGACTACTTACTAACATTTTTTCTTTAAACCCAACTTATTTTCTTTACCAAAATACATTCACCCCAAAAGAAGAAAACTGAAGTCACCAACATAAATAGAAAACCATTACCACTGACCACAAATAGAAATGAAACCTACCAATAAATGTAATGAAAACCTTACAATGGTACTAGTAATCTCAGCTTGGTATTGTGGCCTTCCTGAAACTTTCAGGAGGATATTCTCTCTCTCTCTCTGGCAAAGGAGGGAGTAAGCATTAACTACCACAAATTTAGCCATTGAAAACGAAATATTATATTACAGACCCGTAGGTCAGAAGTTTCGGCACGGCTGGTCTCTGTTCACTTCTGAAGGCCCTTGGGTTACAGAGCTGAGGTCTCCATTCCCTTGCTGGTTGTCAGCTGGGGGGCGCTCTTACCTCCAGGAGGCCTCTCTCTGGTCTTCATGCAGGGCCCCCCACCTCTCAGAACCAGCAATAGATCCTTCAGTCCTTGTCATGCTGCCATCTTTCTGGTTCTCTGCAGCAAGGAGAGGTTCTCACGTGACTACATTGGTCTCACATGGATAATCTGGTTTAATCTCCCTCACCTAGGGCCTTGACCTTACTCACACCTGCAAAGCCCCTTTGCCAGGTATGGAATATCTTCACAGGTGTGAGTATCTTTGGGGGCTGTTAATCTGCCTGCCACAGCACATTAGCAGCAAACTGAGATGGCCTTGGTAGAATTACAAAGAGAGAAGAGGGGAGGTGGAGGGAGAAAGAAAGCAAACAATCAGCTCACTGAATGACTCTATATAATTTAAAGTCCTGTCTATGAACCACCTAAAATCATTCCTGGAAAATTCCTTGCTCTCTCTTACATCTTGCCCTGCCATAATCACAGCTGATAAGCTTTAGATGGCCTCAGTGGAAGGCATTATTTCCTTATCCTGGTCTCCAGGTCTGGGTCTGGCCAGGCATTGAGCCTCCATCTAAAACAGGAAGGAAGCAATGAAATGTCTCAGAAAGACTCCCCAAGAAGTTCTCTTCTTCCTTCTGGGCTGCCTGAAGATCCCACAAAACTCTCTAAGCTCAGAGTTGGCCCTTCCAGGTTTACTTCCTGCCTGAGAGCAAAGGAGCCCCCTCCAGCACTCTGCACGCTGCCATGTGCCATTCAGCCATGATCCGTGCAGGCATTAACAGCAGGCCTGGGGAAGACAAGACGTGTGTGCAGAAAGCATTGGGTGGCTGGCTTCTTTCTCTAACAGGCCTGGTCTCTCGCCCTTTGCTAATTACTTTGATCCTTTGCACTTTGTAAAAAAGCCCCACAACACCAATTGGTCCCCTCTGGCTTTAACCTTGCAACCCAGTTGGCCCTTGTAAAAAGTGGGGGTGGGTGCCAGAGGGGGGCCAGGCAAGCCCACATACAGGCACACACATGTATCCAGATCTGCGCTGACTGCCCGGGGTCTGTTTCTTTAATGGTTCTCTCCCAGGACTCTCACAAAAAAGGACAAATAAAACCCTTTTTACAAGATGGCAAGGCTGCGTGTAACATCGACTTCATCAACAACCAGTTCTTTCGTGAGTTCCTTTGCCTTTTAACATACTTTCTTTCCAGATCTCACTTTCTGCAACTGGCTGGCTCCTTCTTGCTTGCTCTTGCTTTTTGCAGCTCTGGAAAGTCTCCTTTCCCACTCCCTGTCCCAGGCCCAACCCTGACCCTTGCCAAATCCTCACTTTCATCTGCTCTTGCTCCTTTTCCCCATTCTGTGAAGCTACCGAGGAAGCAAAGTGGATTTGCCATTTGGGGAGGGAGAGTACTGGTTTGCAGGAACTCATGAAGCTGGAAGTAAAACCGAAGCTTGTTGAATTTGATGAGTATGGGGAAGATAGCCCTGTGGGCAGACAGAAATAAGGACCAGGTTTTACTCTCTTTGAAAAAACATATAGAGGCCGGGTGCAGTGGCTCACAGCTGTAATCCTAGCACGTTGGGAGGCCGAGGTGAGTGGATCACTTGAGTCCAGGAGTTCAAGACCAGCCTGGCCAACATGGCGAAACCCCATCTCTACTAAAAATACAAAAATTAGCCAGTGGCGGTGCATGCCTGTAATCCCAACTACTCAGGAGGCTGAGGCAAGAAAGTCATTGGAACCTGGGATGCAGAGGTTGCAGTGAGCCGAGATCACACCACTGCACTCCAGGCTGGATGACAGAGCAAGACTCCATTCTCAAAAAAAAGAAAAAAGAAAAGACATAGAATAGAAACAGCCAAAACCTCACATTTGTGTTTTCAAAAGCAGTTCTTCACCTCAGCCTGATTGACATACATGATTGTATCAGAATTACTTGTGATGTTTGTTGCAAGTTATTTGTTATGCATAATAAAGTCCTAAAGTTGCAAATTATTTACTTTTTAAAAATAGAATTTACTTGATTAAAAGCTATCCCTACTATAGAATATATGTAAGTCAGCCTTTGCTGCGTGACAAACTACCCCCAAACTTAGTGGCTGACAAACACCATTTATTTAGATCACGATTCTTTGAGTTAGCATGAGCTGAGTTCAGCTGGGTTGTTTTTCTGGTCTTGGCTGGACTCACTGATTTGTTTGCAGTCAGCTCTGGTATTGGCTGGGGGCTGGCTGATCAGGGGAGTGATCTTCAGCTGAAATGTCTTGCTCACAGGTATGGTCTTTCCCTGCTCCAGTAGGGTGGCTCCAGCTTGCTTTCATGGTGGGGGTAGAATTCCAAGAGAAAATGCAAGTGTGCCTATGGCCTCTTGAAGCCTAGGCTCAGCGCTGCCCTCTGTCACTTTTGATCCTTTCTATTCACCAAAGCAAATCACGAGGCTGGCCTAGATTCAAGGACAAGGAAATAGACTCCAGTTCTCCATGACGGGGATCTGTAACGCCACACTACAAAAAGCACAGATACTGGTGTAACCGCCCAATGGGTTCACCTTGCCCACAGCCGAGACAGAGCCCATTTATCAGGACAGGGGAACTGCAATAGAGAAAGAGTCATTGACACAAAGCAGGCTATGCAGGAGACTGGAGTTTTATTATTACTCAAATCAGTCTCCCTGAGCATTCGGGGATCAGTGTTTTTAAGGATAATTTGGAGGGTGGGGGAAGGCCAGTGAGTCGGGAGTGCTGATTGGTTGGGTAGGAGATGAACTCGTGGGAAGTTGAAGCTGTCCTATTGTGCTGAGTCAGTTCCTGGGTGGAAGCCACAAGATCAGATGAGCCAGTTTATCCATGTGGGTGGTGCCAGCTACTCCATCAAGTGCAGGGTCTGCAAAGTATCCTAAGCACTGATCTTAGGAGCAGTTTAGGGAGAGTCAGAATCTTGTAGCCTCCAGCTGCATGACTTCTAAACCATTATTTCTAATCTTGTGGATAATTTGTTAGTCCTACAAAGGCAGTCTAGTCTCCAGGCAAGAAAGAGGTTTGTTTTGGGAAAGGGCTGTTATCGTCTTTGTTATAAACTATAAACTAAATTCCTCCCAAAGTTGGTTCAGCCTATGTCCGGGAAAGAACAAGGAAAGCTTGAAGGTGAGAACGAAGATGGAGTCGGTTAGGCTAGACCTCTCTCACTGTCCCCGTCATAATTTTGCAAAGACGGTTTCACTGGGAAGGGAGAAGGATTGTGATCATTTCTCTACTCTAACATAATTTATTTCTTACTGTTATTCTCCTGAATTCTAGTCCCATGAAAAGACAATTGGTATTACAGGAAATACAGGAGCATGTGAACAAAGAACTGTGGCAAGTTGGGCTCCACAAAGTGAATAAGCTTGCATGCAGGATTTCTCAACACCTTCAATCACCAAGATGCACGGTGAACCTTCAAAAGTGGGAACCACAGGCAGTCCAGGCCATTTCCAAATTCCCAAATGTACACCCTTTTGAAGGGAGCATCTCTTAGGATTCATATTCTGTGAAATGTATTTTGGGAAGTACTACTATGATAACATAACTATGCTAATTTGTATCAGATAGAGGGTTTTTTTTGTTTTTTGTTGTTTTTTTTTTGTGAGATAGGGTCTCACTCTGTTGCCCAGGCTGGAGTGCAAGGTCTTTCTGTGTGAAAGGTAAGAGTTGCCTCAATGGGAAGTTTCTTCTTACCTGAATAACTTCCGGAGCAAGGAATTGTTACTGATGTATTGCTAAGAGTTGGAGTGATTCTATTATGGTGCAGATTTCCTCCTGGGATGTTTTGCTGGGAGGAGGGCCAGGCAGGGGAGGTAATCAAATTGATGATAAATAAAAGTGATCACCAAGACTCCTCCCACCCAAAGACAAATGCTCTGGGACATTTCCTTCTAGTCATTTTTCTCCCATGTATTTTCTTTATGTGATGGGATCACTCAAGTTCCTGCTTTTTGTTTTAACTTAACATTATACTAGAAGCATTTTTTGAAGATCAGTTTAGTAGTAACTCAATATTCTGCCTTATAGATGTCATATTTTACCTTATAACAGCCTATCCCCTATTTTGGATATTTTTTTTACCCCAAATTTTAGTATTTGAAATCAGAACTTCTACATCTCAAGAAAGTTGAGGGTTTTTTATTTGTTTTTCTATTTTGTTCGGTTGTTTTGTTTTGTCTGTGAGCACAGAGCCTCAGAGAGAAAATGAAGGCATGGGCTTTTTATTTGCTTTTTTGATGGCTGAGGAAGCACGATTGGAAGAGCAGTAAGATCAAACCAGTTCTCAACATTTCCATTGCTGGGGTCCCAGTTGGCAGTAGGAAGAGGAAGATTCTTTCATGTTTTCAGATAAATTGCACTTGTGGTCTTGCCAAACTGCATGCAGGATTCAGGGTTGGCTTGGATCTGAGGTCTCACTCACAGCTGTTAAATCCTCCCAAAACCACAGGCCAAATGATCTTGTTCGGGGCCTCTGAATCATTTATCTCTCTCCTATTTCTTACCTACCTTGAATCCAGAAATCATAGAAGAAAGCCTATTATTAGAAAATGGGTTTTTTGGTTTTTCAGAGTTGAGAGAGCTCGGGGGTTGGGGATGGGGGACCAAAAACCTCAAAACATCGCTGGTTTTGAATTTAGCTTGTGTATAATTACTTTGCCTCGGCTCTGGACTAGGTTAGGCTTTTTCCACAGTTCCTGAAGAGTGTGCTCTGTAGTAGTTTTCCACAAGTCTGGTCTGAGAAAGTCCGCTGCAGGGGCAAAACACTGTGAGCATGACAATTTCCCTCAGGCTTGCGTTAAGAAAAGGCAGGTCTTAAAAGTCTCCCAGATTTCTCCATGTTCTTAGATGCCTTTGGGACCCAAGATCAACAACTTAAGTGTTCTGAGCCTCAGTTTCTTCACCTGTAAATGGGGGGTACAATGGGGAAGTGCCATAAATAAAGTGAACTCTCAGTTTTATGTGCCAGGCACTATCCTAAGTGCCTTGCAACTACAAAGCTTGTCCTCCTCATGACAGCTCTATGAAATAAGTCCCATGGTGATTCCCCAGTTAAAGATGAGAAAATTAAAGTCAGAGAAATTGTGAAAAGTACCACGTATAATTCCTGTCATCCAGCGGGCGCTCCATGTATCAGATGAGCTCGAAGAATCTCTGCCGTCCTACTCATGACATACTGCCATTGCTTGTTTAACTGTTCAACTTCCCAGAGATGGTAAGCTCTGTGAAAACAGGGGTTGTGCCCAGTCTACAATTCATTGTATCCTCAGAACCTACTTCAGGTTCTGGCCCACAGCGGACACTCCATAAATGTTTATTGACTAAAGAAGTGGATGAATGAATGAATTCCAAATTGGTAATAAGTCAGTTCTTTGCCCACAGTCTAGTCAAAGCTCCTTCAATTCCTCACCCGATCTGGTATTCAGGAATTTGCAGAAAATAACTCAAATAAAGTACAAAAAACAAAAGAGAGAGGGAGAGAGAGTGTGGGTTGGTGAGTGGGGATATGGACCCTACTTAGATCTGAACAGCAAAAACAAACATCCCCCCCAACAAATTGCTTAAACACGGGCTCCTATCACTTTCTCTGTTCCCCTTGCTCTTGAAAGAAAAGAGATTCAATATAAACCCCCTATAAACAATACATTTATGTTATGGAACAAGTTGGGTCAAATATCTGAGTTAATAAAGAAAGCCCAGACTCATGAAAATTTTGCAAAACCAAAGAGACAATTATAAGAATAAGCAGAAGTTTCAGAAGATATTGCAGAAAACATGATGAGAAGCTTTGTTCACTTTTAAGCCAATAAATTCTAGACCTGAGATGCAATAAGTAAGGAGAGTTGGCTTGTCAGGGTCGGCTATTATAAAATGATAACATACAGTAGAAAATAAAAGTCTTAACATGGAAAACACGAGCATAAGTTGGTGGCAAAACAGATTGAGTATTCAGTTCAAGAAATATTGAGAGAGTGCCAACCATATATATGACAGGTGCTGTGTGACATGCTGAGTTCATGATGATAGTAAACAGGATACACACTCTCCCTTTCTCTCAGAAGCCTTTATCACATGGAGAAATCTAGAGGAAACTTGAGCAACACTATAGAAAATCTGGGACAGTACAGATTGACGTAGTCAATGAACAATCCAGCCACCAGGTTCAAAGCTTAAGAGAAAGTGTAGAAATGAGTTTGAGAGCAGTAAATTATTCATTCAGCAAACACATGAGCTAAGTCTTACTGAGAAATGGAGAAAGTTTATCTTGCGGATTATCTGCATCCTCCTACAGTATGTTTTTATTGCTTCTTGATTTCCCTCCCTGTCACCTTACAAAATTCTCAATCCTTTCTTTCCCTATCCTCTCCTACCACATACCCCAAAATTTAAAAGTTGAGTCTCAGCTACTTGTCAGTGTAAATAGGAATGAAGAAAGTAATTCACGCAAGGATGCAGGTGATTAAGTATAACTTAATGCACTTTGCAGCGTTAATAATTAAATGTAAACCAGCATTTTCACTTAATCCCATATTTATTTCTCCTAGGGAAACAAATCTTTAATTGTAGAATTTCCAGAATAGAGGTTTTGCTGTGGCAAGACACAAGAAATGCTACCTTTTAAAGCTATAGTTTTTTTTTGGTAAACTATTTGTTTCAGTGTCAACAGTTTCAGCAAACCCTTTATTAAGCCCCTAATATATGCTGGTTGCTTGAATAAATGCCATTTGCTTATTCCTCATAGCAACTTCAGCACGGGGTCTTGAAAAGTAAGGAAGGGTTTATAGAGTGGGGAGAAGCTCTGTATGTGAAGGCTACAGCTTTTGCATAGTAGTAGCATCTTAGGGAGAAAGGCTTATGAGGTGGGCAGCTGAAGCCCTTAGGGAAAGAAGGGAAGAAAATAGTAGCAAAGCATGAAAATAAGAACCAGACAGTGGAAAATAGCAATTATAATGGCTGATCTGCATAAAACGCTAAATTTGGGGCCAGGTCCTGTGTTCAGTGTTGACATATAATATGTCCGTGAAACATTACAGCAGATATTAGAAGGTAGGCACAATTGTCATCATCATGCCCGTCAGACGGTTGAAGAAACAGGCTCTGGGACATACATAACCTGACCAATGCAGTTCAGCCAACAAACATCACAACCCCAACTCAACCCCAGTCTTCCTACCGCTAGAACACACTCACTGACTACACACTCACTGACCACATGCTCACTGAGCACACACTCTAGCATGGCATTGCCAGGACACCATGTTGGCTTTATTCTATAGGGGAGTCAATGGGGAACTCCAAATGGTATAAAAAAGCAAAAAAAAAGGCCGGGCATGGTGGCTCACACCTGTAATCCCAGCACTTTGGAAGGCCGAGGCAGGCAGATCACCTGAGGTCGGGAGTTTGAGACCAGCCTGGCAAACATGGTGAAACCCCATCTCTACCAACAATACAAAATTAGCCAGGCGTGGTGGTGCATGCTATAGTTCCAGCTACTCGGGAGGCTGAGGCAGGAGAATCGCTTGAACCCGGGAGGCGGAGGTTGTGGTAAGCTGAGATCACGCCATCTCACTCCGGCCTGGGCAACAAGAATGAAACTCTGTCTCAAAAAAAAAAAAAAAAAAAAAAGCCAAAAAAGATGCCTAGGTCAGTCTTCGGGCATGAGACCAAGTCTGAGAGTGTGGTTAGAACAATGTCTCATCCCTTCAGGTAGAATAAGAATGATCCTTTTTGTACTTATAAAGAATTAGTACATAATTTTTCCCTTAGACTTTCCCAGGTGCTTCAGAAATGCTGTCGTACAGAAGAAGGTGAGGTCTTGACCAAAGTCCCTTGGAGGACTTTAGCCAGAACTGAGCCCCCGTTGGTGATCTGCCTTCCCCTCACCAAGAAACCAGAGCAGGAGTGTTTGTTTATTTGTTTTTACCCGTTGAAATGTACACAGCAGGAAATCAGTGGACTGGGCCTAAGGATCTTTCACCCACTGTTAGTTATCACAGCATAACGCTCCATTCCTCATAAGCTAGCTTTGCAGACAGGTCTTTTTGAACCTTCAGTCTGGACTCCATATTGAAACACTGTTAAACATGCAGAGCTTAGTTTCTTTCCAATCACTAATGTATGTCAGTGAATATCTTTCTATGCCTTTAATTCCTAACAATGACATCATCTTCTTTCTCAAAGCAGAATCAGGCCCTGAGTTGGAAAGTGACTCCCAGGGAAACCTAGATGGATTTGGGTAATATTCAAGCTGTTCTCTTGGCCCTCAACTCTGAGGTTGAGCAATAATCAAGGAAGGCAGATAATCTCTGGTATTGTCAGAGATTTCAATCTTTTGACTGAGATGAAAAGACCGGTCTCCATTTCCCTGGCTCAGTGGTCAGTAAGAATGCATCTCATCTCACAGGGACCATGGCAGCCCCAGGCCTTGGTCAAAGTCCAATTTACTATGTCCTCCTAACTAGGCCCCAGATGGTATCACAGAATCATAATAGAATGTCAGAGACCCTTTGAAATCAACTTGCACTCATTTTACATTTGGGACCCCTGCAGCTCAAGGAGGTTAAGAGCAAAATAATAGGCCATAGAGTCAGTTGTTCTATTAACAAGTATTTCTTGGGTACCCACTGAGCTCCAGGCCCTGACTTGGAGCTTCCAGGCTGGTAGAACAGGCAGACATTAACACAACTATTACACATGATGAACTAAATTCATATCCACGCACAGAGGGCAGCAGTAAAGCTGAAGTTGTAGGGGCCAGGGCGCTCTCTCTAGGGTGCAGGTGGCGACCCTTATGGAAGGATTTCCTGGGGAGAAATTGCATGAATAAGAATGTGAAGGAGAGGAAGCCAGGTGATGGGCTGAAGGAAAAGGTATTCAAGGCCTACGCAAAGATCTGGAAGCGGAAGGAAATATAACGTGTGAAAAACCAGAAAAGGCCCTGCATGGGTGGAGGGGAAAAGCAGACAGACAAGGCCAGAAAGAAAATCAGCAGCAATTCCAGCCCTGGAATCCAGGGCTCCTGGCTCTTACATGGAATATAATTAATGGCAGAGGAAAAGAAAATGCAAATACAACTAAAATGCAGACCCTGCCAACATACTGATGTAGAAAAGTTTGCTTTGAAGGTCTTCTTACTTCCCCGTTTAAGACCCCATCACACCCTCCAAGTTCCCTCCCTTGCCCCCAGAAAGGTCATGTTCTCACTTTCTCTCCCTTCTGCCAGTTCTCAAACCTGGTTTTAGATTTCTGACAAGCTGGAAAGGCAGGGAGGAAAAAAAAAAAAAAAAAAAAAGCTAATTCTCAGGAAGGTGGAAAGAACGGCTCTAACACAACACTTTACTGAGTGATGGTTATCCCCCCTGCTTCACAATCTGCATGTAACCCGGACATTTACCTGGCCTGAAGCAACCCATCCTTCATTGCCAACTTTCAGGGAGAGAACTTTTGAGGTAGAACGAAAGAGCACAACAATAAACTCTTGTGCCTACCACTTTAAAAATAAGTGTCATGTTTCCGGACCAAGAGATGACTGTTTGCAGTCATACTGGGTACCTTCTGTATCCTAGTTGTTATTTCTCATCGTGATACTCTACAGGTGGATAGTGTCTCCATTTTATAGATTGAGCATGCAGAGAGACTTTGAGAGGGAAAGTGCCCTGGCATGGTAGGTCTTACTGCTAATCAAGCCAGGGGCAGGATGCAAAGTCAGGCATTCAATTTCTGAAGTCGCTTGTCCCTGGAAACCTCACTGCTCAGTATACGTCCAAAAGAGGCAGCCTGTATAGGCAAATTTGCCGGCCTTCCTGGAGAGACTCAGTGGCCATTTTGCATGCAATGGGACTATAAACATTTTCACATACAAGGGAGAGGTTGGAGAAAAGATGAACCACTTCCCCCCTCTTCCATTTTGTCCATCTTGGTTCAATCCATGACTTTGTACACCTAAAGGACTGCAGGAGCCTTCTCACTGGCCTCCCTGGACTTTATTCTCTGTGTGGTCTGAACTAGGCCCTAGATGGTATCACAGAATCATAATAGAATGTCAGAGAGAATGGGTACACCAGGGTGAGCCTGTTTAAATGTATAGCGGATCGTGTCACCTCTGTCCTCAAACTCTTCAATGACTCACTCATGACGAGTAGTAGCCATATGATCTGCCCCTTCTCCTGCCTAGGAGCTCTTGACCTCATCTCTCACCATGTCTTTCTCTGTCACTCTGCTTCATGTCACTGATATTTGGAACACACCAGGCACACTCGTACCCCAGGGCCTTTGCACTGTAAGTTTCCCCTGAGCAGAACATACTTCTGGTCATCCAGCGGGCTCACTCCCTCACTCCCTCAAGGGCTTTTTACTCAACTGTCACCTTCTCAGTAATGCCTGTGCTGAGCACTCGATTTTAAATTGTCACCCCTTCTACACCTTAACGTTTTCAGTCTGACTTATGTCATCCTACCTTTTTTTTTTTTTTTTGGAAACAGAGTCTCACTCTGTCATCTAGGCTGGAGTGCAGTGGCACCATCTTGGCTCACTGCAACCTCTGCCTCCCCGGTTCAAGTGATTCTCTGCCTCAGCCTCCAGAGTAGCTGGAACTACAGGCGGGTGCCACTGCCACCACGGCCGGCTAATTTTTGTATTTTTTTGTGAGACAGGGTTTTGCCATGTTGGCCAGGCTGGTCTCGAACTCCTGGCCTCAAGCAATCCTCCTGCCTCAGCCTCCCAAAGTATTAGGATTACAGGCGTGAGCCACCACACCTGGACTGTTCTACTTTTTTTACATCATTCATGACATTGTAATATTCTATGTAATATATTCATTTTTATGTTTGCCATCTCTCTCCTTAAATTGAACTCAATTCCCCAAGGACAGTAATTTTTATCTACTTTTCCTTTCACTATTGTTATGTCCAGTACCTACTGTTATGTCTAAGAAAATAATAGGTCCTTCATAAATATCTGTTAAATGAATGAATGAATGGATAGTAATGTCTGAGGAGTCCCCCAGAGCCGAAAGAGACAGCTACAAAGGTGTTGATGAGCACACAGGGTTGCAAGGAAGCATCAGGTTTATTGTACTTGAGGCTGTGAGTACTCCTGAAGCAACCTTACACAGGAAATAGTCCCCTCTCTGGGCTAAACAGGTAAGGTCTGCAGGGAAGACACTACAACTTGCTGCTACTCCACAAAGCAGCAGTGAATACATTGGGGAGAAACAGTGGCCTCTTGAACACAATCTCTAGTTGCCTTGGAGGTCAGCTAGGAAACAGATTATCACATTGGGTTCGGTGTTTCTTACTGTGTGATGGGGCCAAGACTAGGCTAAGGTGAGTGAGACATTTGCCTTGGGGGTGAAATTTAAGTTGGTGCCCAAAGACTCCATAATACATACTCTACTGCAGTGTTTTAAAAATAAATACTTTGGGAGGCTGAGATGGGGCGGATCACCTGAGGTCAGGAGTTCGAGATCAGCCTGGCCAACATGGTGAAACGCTGTCTCTACTAAAAAATACAAAAATTAGCTGGGCGTGGTGGTGCATGCCTGTAGTCCCAGTTACTTCGGAGGCTGAGACAGGAGAATTGCTTGATCCTGGGAGGCAGAGATTGCAGTGAGCTGAGATCGCACCACTGCACTCCAGCCTAGGAGACAGAGAGAGACTCTGTCTCAAAAAATAAATAAATAGGCTGGGTGTGGTGGCTCACGTCTGTAATCCCAGCACTTTGGGAGGCGGAGGCGGGTGGATCACCTGAGGTCAGGAGTTTGAGACCAGCCTGACCAACATGGTGAAATCCTGTCTCTACTAAAAATACAAAAATATTAGCCAGGCATGGTGGTGCATGCCTGTAATGCCAGCTACTCAGGAGGCTGAGGCAGGAGAATTACTTGAACCCAGGAGACAGAGGCTGCAGTGAGCTGAGATCATGCCACTGCACTCTAGCCTGGGTGACAGAGCGAGACGCCATCTCAAAATAATTAAATAAATAAACAAACACAAAGAAAGAAAGAGAGAGAGAGAAAGAAAGAAGGAGGGAGGGAGGGAAGGAAGGAAGGAAGGAACGAAGGAAGGAAGGAAGGAAAGAAAAGAGAAGAGAAAAGAAAAGAAAAAAGGAAAGAAAAGAAAAGAAAAGGGTCAGGCTCCATGGCTTATGCCTGTAATCCCAGCACATGGGAGGCATGGGAGTATCACCTGAGCTCAGGAGTTCGAGACCAGCCAGGGTAACATAGACCTCGTCTCTACCAAAAAATAAAAAAAATTAGCCAGGCAAGGTGGGCATGTGCCTGTAGTCCCAGCTACTTCGGAAGGTGAGGTGGGAGGATTGCTTGAGCCAGGGAAATTGAGGTTGCAGTGAGCAGCAATCACACCACTGTACCGCAGCTTGGTCAACAGAGCAAGACCCTCTCTCAGTTTAAAAAATTAAAAATCAATTTTAAAAATGTGTGATGAAGAAAATATCAAACATTTCAATAAAGACAGGCTCCAACCCTGCATTTGTACAACTCAGCCTTACTTGCCTCACCCTAATCCCAGCCCTGGTTTCAATAAAACTTTATTTATAAAAACCATGTGGCCAGTTTGCGGGCCATAGTTTATCAGTTTGATTTTGTTAAAAGATCGTATTCAAATGTTATTTTCTTGATTACTGAGGTGCTGGGTGCCCCTTAAAAGCTGGGTCCAAGGTGAATGGCTCACCCTTCTCATGGTAGTCTTGGCTCTGCTGTGTGAGCCCCAGCAAATGACTTCAATATCTGAGCCTAGGTGTCTTCCCTTGTAATAAGGGTGATAACCATGGTCCCAGCCTGCAGAGTTGTAGTGAGGTTTATGCACGTAAAATCCATTTTACACAGTTACTAGCACTTGATAAACGGTGATTGTGGCATTGTTGATGTTGCTTTTATGGGCACTCTCTCTGACCAGAACTAACTCTGGGGCTTCAGGAGACTTTAGAGAACGTGGCATTCTCTGAGGATGTGGCTATTTTCTCACATAGAAACATGTCTCATTTTGGTCCTGGGCTACCTGAGAAAATAATTGTTCAGCCAAGGCCAGAACGAGTTGCCTTGTGGACTGCCAGAGTTCAAAACCCCATCATAGGGTGGCCCAGACTCTTACTATGAATTTGAACTTGTCCTGCAAAACTAAAGTGTTTCAGGACCCAGGCATGCAGCACTGTAAAAAGGGGCAATTAAACCTATAAAACCAGGGTTTATAGGGGAATTTATAGTGTCAGAGGCTTTTTATAGCTTTTTGTAGATTAGTTTAAATAGAGGAAGAAAGAACAGGGGAAAGAAAAGGAGAGGGTTTGAAACTTGAGGAGACTTAAAAGTTGAGAAAGAAGCTTTTAGGAAGCACAGGGGGGTCATAATCAGAGGCACATTTTTCCCATCTTGCTGTCTCTTTCAAATTAAGCAAAAAACAAAAAGGCAAGAATTGCTGTCCTTAATCATTGCTCTTTGTCATGTCCTTAACTGTCTGAGAAGACAGGCAGGGCATGGAAAAAGTCTTGAGGGCGGGGCTGAAGAAAGAAAGTGGGTTTTGGGAAAACTAGCAATTCTCTTGGCCAGCTCTATTCCCCAGGCCTCAGGAACAAGCAGCCTCCCTGCGTCTGGCAGGTCTACGGAGTGAGGAGCTGACCTGCAGCGGGAAGTGTCCTCATCAGCCATACAGTGACTCTGGGCCTCAGGGTATAGGCCACCTGGAGAATGTAAGCAAGTTCAATGGTCCCTCAGAAAGTGGCCTGAGAATCAGTGATCTACCCGGCCATTCTCCTCCTCCTTCTTTGTCCTCCAGACATAATAGTCTCTTTCCTTTTTCTTGAAAAATCAGTGTTCTTTCTGTTTCTGGACCTTGGCTCATGTTCCTCCTTCTGCCAAGAATGCTCTTCCACCCTGTTTTTTCAGGTTTCTCAAACTCAACTCCAGGGTTCATTTCTTACCAATAAATAAATAAATAAATAAATAAATAATCTTTTCAAGATATTTAGTAAAACAGGCAAGATTCATAATTGCAGATATATGCGCTCACTGTATGGAGAAAAAATACATACATATATACATATAGAGGATTATAATATTTGCAAATTTATAAGTATTTGGGAAAAGATAGGCAAGAAAATTGTAACAACATTTGACTCCAGGGAGGACAACGAGGTATCCGGAAGGCACAGGAGAATACCCACTTTTTCCCTGTCTCCCCTTTTGTAAATTTTAGCTTTTGTTTCATGTGCATATATAACCTATTCAAAACTTAGTTTCAACTTTATTTTTAAAAATATCTGAAATCTTTGGACGCGATAAGTACCATAGTTTTGCAAGATGTTATGGGGAAACTTGGTGATGGGTACACAGGGATGTCTCTATATTATTTCTTAGAACTATATGTGACTCTTGTTAAAAGAAATAAAACTTCAGATGAATTAAATTTAACAGCATTTAATTGAACACAGAACCATTCGTGAATCTGGCGGGCCTTAGAACCAGAAGAAGTTCATGGGACTCTCCTCCACAATATGGACGGGAAGCATTCACAAACAGACAACATAAGTGAGACAGAGAAACAGCTTAACTGGTTATAATTCCCTGGTTGCCTTATTTGGATATAGTCTGATCCGCTGGCCACTGACAATTGGCTGAAGGTTGGCTGCTGCCATTGGCTGAGACTCAGCCAATTACCAAAAATAAAAATAAAAAATAAAATACTTTTAATGAGGCTTCAGTTTGTTTACATACTAAATTAGGTTGTAGTATATTACTGAAGATACAGGGGCATCCTCAGGCCACGTTTAGTTTAACACTTTATACTTCTCTAAAAATAAAAAGTTTAATTAAAAAAAAAAGTAAACTCAATTCCTCAGGAAAACCATCACCATCCTCTCCTGCCTGGTCCCACCCAAAAGGAGCTCACCTTCAACCAGTGTGTAAATTGTTTAAGCCCCACATCAGTCCTAATTGTTGGTAGGTAGACTGTTCTGATTGTTAACTATCTTGAATATCACCTCTAAGTATTTATACTTCATGCCAACCTAAGATGACTTCCTCAAATGCACTTGTCCAAAACCTAATTACATAATTGAAAAGGTTGTAATTTACGTCTTTCCCATTAGACTACAAACTCCCTGAGGGTGGGAACCCAGTCTTGCTCACTGATCCCCACCTCCCTGTGCCTAGCCCCGGCCTTGTGAATGGCCAGATAGCGGCCCCAGTCAACATTTATTGAATAATCAAACTGAGAGGTGAAACAGGAACTCGGCGTCTTTATCAACAACGATTTAAGCTCAAGTAAGCACCCTTCCTTTTACACATCTAGGATTCAGTAATCAAGTGGTTGTTTTTTTTGTTTGTTTGTTTGTTTTTGAGACAGAGTCTTACTCTGTCGCTCAAGCTGGGGTGCAGTGGCGCGATCTCAGCTCACTGCAACCTCTGCCTCCTGGGACTCTCCTATCTCAGCCTCCGGAGTAGCTGGGTTAAAGACACAGGCGCATACCACCATGCTGGCTGATTTTTGTATTTTTAGTAGAAACGGGTTTTCGCCATGTTGGTCAGGCTGGTCTTGAACTCCCGACCTCAAGTGATCTGCCCACCCTGGCCTGGCAAAGTGCTGGGATTAAAGGTGTGAGCCACCGCATCTGGCCTCAGTAATCAAATTCTAA
Organism: Homo sapiens; assembly: GCF_000001405.40. NCBI lineage: Eukaryota > Metazoa > Chordata > Mammalia > Primates > Hominidae > Homo > Homo sapiens. Next base: position 115,192,622 of record NC_000012.12, on the reverse strand, counting down.
AAGGGAGAACTGGATTGGATTGCCTTTCCCGGTTTCATAGGCAGCACTCCTATTGGACTGATTTGATACCATTCAATATAAACCCTTCCTATTGGGCCAGTTTGATGTCATTCAGTATGAATCTCTCCTATTGGGCATTGTAGCCACCATTCTGGACGGAGCATTCCTATTGGTCGACCAGACAGGTGTGGGGCAACAGCTTTTCAAAGTGCTTTCAACCAACCATAATGGCTTCCAAGGCTGCATTCTCATCTCTCTTACCACCCTATAAATTGCCTAGAATGCAAATTTTACAGCATCTGCATCTTTTATCTGTAGAATAAAGGTCTTTCTTTTGCCAGAATATATCACAGAGCAGATAGATACATGAAAGGAAGTAAAGGTAATGATAAAGAGCAGGCACCTGGGTTTATCCCAGCTTTGCTGCTAACTAGGCAACATGAATTGTTTTGTGACTCAGAGCTCTCAACTGTAAAATGGGGCTAATAACAATATCAGCCTCATAGGGCTTTTGTGAGCATTAAATATTAACATACGTCACGAGTTTAGAGCAATGCCTGACGTACATTGAGCACTTAACAGTGTTAGCTGAAAGCACTACTGGAGGCAGTTGAAGAATCCTCATGTCAAGACAACTGCTTGATTTTCTTCCCAAAGCCAATCTAACTCAGTTTGAAATTTAGGTTCTGCCACAAAAGTAAAATTCAGTTCCCTTGGTGAAGGGGCTTAAACTCTGCTGTTTTCTGTCCTGATTATAGGTTTGTTCAGCTGATGTAACCCTTGTTTTTCATTCAATGTACTTAAGAATGACTGGGTTGATTGTTTCTTTGGCTAGGGCCCTAAAAAGTTGTTGAATATTCATTGGGTTCCAGGAATTGTATTAAATGCTTAAATACATTATTTCATTATAATATTTTATTTCCTCATATTTAATTATAATCTTGATCCTGAAATAATAAATTATAAAACGTATCAAGCACCAGGTATTACCTTCACTCATTTAATCCTGGAAAAGGCCCAACAAAGTAGACACTATTATTATGTATGATATTACATAATTTTCCCAAGATGGCAGAGCTAGTAACTGGTGAAAATGTGTTTTGAATTCAGATTTGGCTAATGTTGCAATCTCCAGCCCTCCTATCTCCACCCTCTCTGTTGTATAATAATAAAAAATGTAAACAATTATTGTGTGCAATAGAAATATATGTGCAATAGCGATATGTAAGCTTCATATCCAAAGCTATGATTTTCTGGGGTGTAGAGACTTTGACATACACAATTCACGCAGATTATATCCAAAAGTGTGTGTGTGCGTGTTTTCTCACACACAAGGTATTTCCCCAGGTTTTTTTTTTTTTTTCTAATTCTAATTAAAGGTTAGATTCAACTTCTGTAACTCAAAGATGCATCCACATTTAGGCAAATTTATTTTGAAAAAAGATGCATCACTTGATTTTTTTTAAATTTAATAAAAATTTTAAGTAGAGGGTTTAGCTATTTAGAAAACTTTTATTAAACAAATATATCACTCATTTTTGGAAAATTCGATATAATTTTAAGTAGAGTGCTTTACTACAAACTGTAGTAAAAGAATATAACTTTTTTGTTAATTAGAGAAAATATTAAGTGGAAGGTTTAGCTATAAAAAACTATAATAAAAATATGTATTACTCATTTCTTTGTAAATTGGTTAAAGTTTTAAGTGGAGGGTTTAGCTATTTTTAAAAAAGAATTATAGCGTATTCATGTGGAAAAATGAATGTTTAATAATATAAATAATCATCTCTACACATCACCCCAGATTATGCACATATATCCAATTTTTATGCTTGGATTTTCTAATATTGGGTCCATCACTTAGATATCCCAGTAAACAGTAGAGTTTGGAGGTTAGAATTCACTGCATATTTTCTATACCCAAATATCTTTAAGGGCCTCCAGTACTACAGAATAAAGCTCCAACTATTTAGCTTAGTAATTCAAGCCAGCCAAGATTGAATCCAAATATATGAGTTAGTTTTGCTTCTTTGTGGTTTCTAATAGCTGCTCCTTCATCCTGCACCATTTTTCCTGGGCAGGAAACCCAAAGGGACAGCAATCAGGAGGAAGATTTCGTCCTTGCTTTCTCTCTCTCTGTGGAAGTGGAATAATTCAATCAGTCCGCATATGTAAGGCCTAGTTACCCAACAAGGGAAGGTGGTCATGAAGCCAAGTCGATTCACTGTTCATTGTTCTCTCTCTCTTCTTCTTTTTTCCTTGCAAGCTAAGTATAACGGAAGTAAATCAATCCACACTGGAAGAAAAAAAAATGCAGGCTTATTTTCGCAATTTTTTTTGTTTTGTTTTTTTGGATCAGAAACACAGGACTTCCCAAATCAAGTTAAGTGAGTCCCAGATGTGGACTCTTTTCAAATGAAAAACACACCCCATCATTTCAGGCAGAACTCTGAGGAAACCGGTGATTGCAGTGCCTGGGACAAGAAAAGGATTTCTCTAGAGAGTTTGTCCCAGTTTGTGGAGAGGAAGAGGAATGGGGAAGATGAAGGGCTGGCATGCTTCTCCTTTCCCTGGGGAGATGAGAGATGGAATTCAGGTTAATTAGGTTTAGGGTCACTTGAGAACCAGTCGGGAGAGTGGAAGGCATCTTTGAGTAGTGCAGAAGGATGGTTGGAATTGAAGCTGCCACATGTTGACGTCTGGTTTTATTAATAAGAAGGCACTAAATTCATATTACACATCCAGGACATGAACCGCCGGGGACAAAAAAAAAATCAACAAGAAATGACAGTGACGCTCACACTTGTGGGCATTCTAGAGAATTATTTTTCCAATGGAGAATGGTAGATGGCAGCCGGAATGCTGAGAAATGACGTGATGTGCAAATTAATATATTTCTTTTAAAGGCCAAAAGAAAAGGAGGGCCTTTTGACAGCCTTTGGTTCAGGCATTAATTTTCAAAGACTGATCAAGACGATGACATGTCACATGGACTTTCTTTTAGTGTTGGACCAAAATAAGATGTTGAACCGTGTAACCAAAGACATCTCTTGGTGAAAGATCCTCCTTTTAGCAACTGTAATTCACATTTTCATCAATGTCATGCTGCACGTAGATGAAAACAGCCATTTAAATGTTTTTCTTCTGTCTTTTTGTAATAGGTTTGATTTTACATTTCTTACCATCCGGTTTGTTGAACGGAAATATGGAAGTACTTTTACTCTCTATATGCTTCTTATGGGGCTTGGTCTAAGATGTGGCCCTTTCTTTTTTTCCTGAACTGGACTTTAATGCAGATTCTCCCCCACCTCATCCCTCCCACAAAACAGGCCATTTTAGTATTTTGGCAAGGCCCTTACCCTTCATTTGGCAGTACTGGTTAACCCAGCATAACTGGATTAAAATGCAGCATAACTGCATTTTATGATGAACTCCTTAGCCATTTCTTCCAGAGCACACACTCTATCCCACCCAGCTGTGCATTCCCACAGCATCACAACAGAGTTTATTAAACTAAATTGAGCTAGATGAGTTAATGTAGCTTTTCAATAATTATATTTCTCAAATTGGTTCCATTTTGCCAATATTACTAGCATGTATTGAGTACCAGCATTTTACTTAGAGTTTAAAATATACTTTCCCATTTAAGCCTCATCTCTATCCTATGAAGTTGCTAATATGCCATTTCTACAGAAAAGGAAAGCAAGACTCAGTGGCAGAGCTGGGATGTAAAGCAACTTCCATTTACAGAGCCCCTTGCACTTCACTTGTATCTTGTACTGCCACTCAGAGCCAGACCTCAAAGACAGCACAGGCACTTGGGAGGGAGTGTGTATAAACCATCAGGGAGGGTTAGAAAAGGCTTTGAGGTAAGGAGATACCAAGGTCGTTATTAGGTTCTGGCCTTGTATGGAGGCATATGAAGTCAGACTTGAGTGAGCATGAAACAGGGACATCTAAGGAGGTGGGCAAGGGGCAGGGGCACCCAATCCTAGGTCCAAAATACACATTTTAAAAATTCCCTGGCTATGAACCTGTAATTAATTTCCTGTGGCTTCTGTAAAAAAATTGCCATAAACTTGGTGGCTTAAAACAGCAGAAATGTAATCTCTCAGAGTCTGGAGGCCAGAAGTCTAAAAATCAAGGTGTTGCAGCAAATAGAATCATTTTTGCCTCTTCTAGCTTCTGATGGCTACAGGCATTCCTTGGTTTATGGGTACATAAGTCTAATTTCTGCCTCCATTGTCATGTCTTTTTCTCCTCTTTGTCTGTGTCTTCTGTCTCTTATAAGGACACTTGTCATTGGATTTAGGGCCCACCTGAGGTATCCAGGATAATCTAATCTTGAGATCCTTAACTTAATTACATCTGCAAAGACCCTTTTCCCAAATGCTTTCTCAAGGCTAGGCTATAGACACATCTTGTTTTCAGGAACCACCATTCAACTCACTTCAACTTGTAAATCAAATATTAAATAAATGGAATCATTGAAATCCTAGGCTAATGTATTAGTTTGTTCTCACATTGCTATAAAGAGCTACCTGAGACTGGGTAATTTATGAAGAAGAGAGGTTTAATGGACTCACAGTTCTGCAGGCTTAACAGGAAGCATGGATGGGAGGCCTCAGGAAACTTACAATCGTGGCAGAAGGCAAAGGGGGAGCAAGCATGTCTTACCATGGCTGAGCAGGAGAGAAAGAGAGTGCAAAGAAGGAAGCTCCACACATTTTTAAACCATCAGATCTCATGGGAACTCACTCACTATCACGAGAACAGCAAGGGGGAAGTCTGCCCCCATGATTCAGTCACCTCCCGCCAGGCCCCTCCTCCAACATGTGGGGATTACAATTCAAGATGAGATTTGAGTGGTGGGGACACAGAGCCAAACCGTATCAATGAGTAAAGTGAGATTCTGTGGAGAAGACAAGGACCATGAATATGCCCTTATCCTCTCCCCTTAGCACTTGGCCCCACATCTTGCACTCAGGAGGCCTCATCAATAGCTGCTCTTTGAGGGCCAGTGTAGCCCAGCAGAAATGGCATATGCTTTGGCAAACTCTGACTTAAATATTGACTCTGCCATTTCCTAGTTCTGGCTTCAGCTAATTCATTTCACCTCTTTGAGCTTCAGGTTTCCCCTCTGCAAAATGGGACTGATCCTAGTGCCTACCTAGTAAAGTGGATATAGGAGGGTTAAAAAGTAGGAGAACCAGCTGCACACA